>NC_000022.11:37648957-37800473 GCF_000001405.40 Homo sapiens
CTCCCAAAGTGCTGGGATTACAGGTGTGAGCCATCGCGCCCCAGGTGTGAGCTGCCGCGCCTGGCTCGATCAGGTTCTACTAATAGCTCCACCCCTCCACCTTCCAGAGATGGGCCTGAGGAAGACACCCTCAGAACCTCGATTTCCTCATCTGTAAATTGGGGAGAAATCATACAAACTTTGAGGGCTTTTGCTTTGGGGAGTGAGTGATATGATGAATTGGAAAATGTTTTAGAAACTGTGAAGTGCAAGCCAGGTCCAGTGTCATGCCTGTAATCCTAGCACTTTGGGAGGCCAAGGTGGGAAGATCACTTGAACTCAGGAGTTTGAAACCAGCCTGGGCAACTTAATGAGACCCTGTCTCTACAAAAAATTAAAAAGATTAGCCAGGCATGGTGCACACCTGAAGTCTCAGCTACTCAGAAGGCTGAGATGGGAGGACTGCTTGGGCCCAGGGAGTCAAGGCTGCAGTGAGCCATGATGGAGCCACTGCATTCCAGCCTGTGTGACACAATGAGACCCTGTCTCTAAAAATGAAGAAATAGGCCGGGGGCAGCGGCTCACAGCTGTAATCCCAGCACTTTGGGAGGCCGAGGTGGGTGGATCACCTGAGGTCGGGAGTTCGAGACCAGCCTGGCCAACATGGTGAAACTCCGTCTCTACTAAAAATACAAAAATTATCTGGGCGTGGTGGTACGCGCCTGTAATCCCAGCTACTCGGGAGGCTGAGGCAGGAGAATCTCTTGAACCTGGGAGGTGGAGGATGCGGTGAGCCAAGATCGGGCCACTGCACCCCAGCCTGGGTGAGAGAGCAAGACTCTGTCTCAAAAAAAAAGAAGAAATAATAAAATTAAAGTGTAAAGTGCAGTGCTATGTGAGGAGTCATCATTATTTACCTGGCCACAGATGGCAAGATTTCCTCCCACGTGCTGATTGCATTTGCTTGGTAGAGGCTGTCCAGATCACAACTATGAGGAAAAGGGTCCTTGATTAATTAGTGATGTCTGTCAGGGTGAAGGAAGGGGGACATTTGGCATGTGAGTGACACATTTACCATCAACTGGTGGTTTGTGGGCTTTTTGAGAACAAGGACTCAATATGATGGATCCTTGTGTCTCCATTGCCCAGCACAGAGCCAGCCAGAGAGTTGGGGTCACAAACCCTTTGCTGAGCAGATGCATCTCTTTGTCCCAGGGACCAGGCCCAGCTGGATGCAGCCTCCGTGTCTTCCATCCAGGTGGTGGGCGTCGTCGAGGCGCTGATCCAGAGCGCAGACACCCTCTTCCCTGGAGGTGAAGCTCCTGCCTGCATGGACGCCCTGCTGGGTGCCCTCCTTCTGCCCTGCTCCCTCCCCTGTAGCCCCACAAACTCACCATAAGTCCAGGAGGAAGTCTGAGCCTCAGTTTCTCATTTTTACAACGGGGATGGTCTGCCTGCTTTGTGGGGTGGTGGTGAGGCTCACACGGGAGTGGGGAAGCTGAACATGGTCCAGATGGGTTCAGGGGAAGGGGAAACGGTCCCGGCCAGTGGAGTGAGGAGCCTGGCGCGGTCTCTGAGAGCCGTCTCCGCTCCTTCTGTCTCCAGACATCAACTTCAACGTGTCAGGCCTCTTCTCAGCTGTTACCCTCCAGGACACAGTCAGTGACAGGCTGGCCTCTGAGGAACTTCCGTCCACTGCCGTGCCCACCCCAGCCACCACCCCGGCTCCGGCTCCGGCTCCAGCTCCAGCTCCGGCCCCAGCCTTGGCTTCAGCAGCTACCAAGGAAAGGTGAGGACTGAGGGGCTTGAATGGCTCCTGTGGTACTCCCACAATCAGCCTGCCTGAGGCGCCATGTCTCAGAGCTGGAAGCTGAATTTTTGGAAATGTAATTATTAGTGTTTTCATCCCAAAGACCGGATCTCCTAGTTTGGAGAGGGTGGGGCAGAGACTCAGAGGCGGAATTTGTCTCAGCCACTGATGTGTGCCCTATTCATCATGTAGCAATTTCCTGAGCACCTACTATATGCCAGGCTTTGTTTCCAGTCCTAGGGAACTCAAGAGATGATCATTTTGGAATCTATAAATACCTTCCAGTTTTGTTTTGTTTTTTTTTTAAGACAGAGTCTCACTCTGTCGCCCAGGCCAGAGTGCAGTGGCACAATCTTGGCTCACTGCAACCTGTGCCTCCCAGGTTCAACTGAGTCTCATGCCTCAGCCTCCCGAGTAACTGGGATTACAGGTGAGTGCCACCACACCTGTCTAATTTTTGTATTTTAAGTAGAGATGGGGTTTCGCCATGTTGGCCAGGCTGGTCTTGAACTCCTGGCCTCAAATGATCCACCCACCTTGGCCCCTGAAAGTGCTGGGATTACAAGTGTAAGCCACTGCACCCAGCCTCTTTTTTTTTTTTTTTTCTGAGATGGAGTTCACTCTGTTGCTTAGGCTGGAGTGCAATGGCGAGATCTTGGCTCACTTGCAGCCTCCCGGGTTCAAGCAATTCTCCTGCCTTAGCCTCCCGAATAGCTGTGACTTCAGGCGTGCACCACCATAGCCGGCTAATTTTTGTATTTTCAGTAGAGACAGGGTTACCCCATGTTGGCCAGGCTGGTTTTGAACTCCTGGCCTCAAGCGATCCGCCTGCCTCAGTCCCCCAAAGTGCTGGGATTACAGGCATGAGCCACAGTGCTTGGCCACCGTCTTCTCTTTGATCGTTTAAATCTGGAAGGGCTTCGTGGTACCGTGGTGCCTCCATACCAAGCAGCTACTATTCAGGATACCACAGAGCACTGCGGCTCACACCTTGAATTTCCTGATGAGCAAGACAAATGCTCACATTTCAGGGCACAGGGAGAGAGAGAGACAGCATCAAGCACAGCCACCAGTGCGTTCTCTCTATAGTGTCAGGTGGAGAGGCGCTGCTAAGGGAGGGGGAGCAGGTTAAGGGGGAGCGTGGGGGCTACTTTAGCTGTGGGGCCAGGAAAGACCTCGCTAAGGAAGAAACGACCAAGCAGAGACCCGAAGGCAGTGAGGAATGAGCCTAGGACCCCCTCTGCTTCTCACCCACTCTCTGGCTTCCAGTGGCCAAAGCATCTCATAAAGATCACGTGGCCCGGCACGGTGGCTCACGCCTGTAATCCCAGCACTTTGGGAGGCCGAGGCAGGCGAGATCGAGACCATCCTGGCTAACACGGTGAAACCCCGTCTCTACTAAAAATACAAAAAATTAGCTGGGCATGTTGGTGGGCGCCTGTAGTCCCAGCTACTCGGGAGGCTGAGGCAGGAGAATGGTGTGAACCCAGGAGGCAGAGCTTGCAGTGAGCCAAGATTGCGCCACTGCACTCCAACCTGGGCAACAGAGCGAGACTCCGTCTCAAAAAAAAAAAAAAAAAGATCACTTGGAGGCAGATTGGGCAACATAGCAAGGCTGTGTCTCTACAAAAAATAAATGAGGTCGGTGTGGTGGTGCACACCTGTGGTCCCAGCTACCCAGAAGGCTGTGGTGGGAGGATTTCTTGACCCTAGGAGGTCGAGGCTGCAGTGAGCAATGATTGTGCCATTGCACTCAGCCTGGGCAACAGAGTGAGATCCTTTCTCAAAAAGAAATGGCCAGGTGTGGTGGCTCACGCCTGTAATCCCAGCACTTTGGGAAGCCAAGGCAGGTAGATCACGTCAGGTCTGGAGTTTGAGACCAGCCTGGCAAACATGGTGAAATCCCATCTCTACTAAAAATGCAAAAAATTAGCCAGGCATGGTAGTGCGCACCTGTAATCCCAGCTACTCGGGAGGCTGAGGCAGGAGAATGGCTTGAACCGGGGAGGCAGAGGTTGCAGTGAGCCAAGATCGTGCCATTGCACTCCAGCCTGAGCAACAAGAGTGAAACTCCATCTCAAAAAAAAAAAAAAAAAGAAAAAGAAATGGCCGGGTGTGGTGGCTCACACCTGTAATCCCAGCACTTTGGGAGGCTGAAGCAGGTGGATCACTTGAAGTCAGGAGTTTGAGACCAGCCTGGCCAACATGGTGAAACCCCATCTCTACTAAAAATGCAAAAAATTAGCAGGGCATGGTGGCGCACGCCTGTAATCTCAGCTACTCAGGAGACCAAGACAGGAGAATCCCATGAACCCAGGAGGCGGAGGTCACAGTGAGCCAAGATCATGCCATCGCACTCCAGCCTGAGCGACAGAGCGAGACTTCTCAACAACAATAACAAAAAAAAACAAGCCTAGGTGGCGCACACTTGTAATCCCAGCACTTTGGGAGGCCGAGGTGGGCAGAAGATCGCTTGAGACCAGGAGTTCAAGAACAACATGACAAAACCCCGTCTCTACTACAAAAAAACAACAACAAAAAAATCTGGGCATGGTGGTGTGTGCCTATAATCCCAGCTACTCCAGAGGCTGAGGCAGGATAATTGCTTGAACTTTGGAGGTGGAGGCTGCAGTGAGCCAAGATCGCACCACTGCACTCCAGCCTGGGCGACAGAGTGAGACTCCATCTCAAGAAAAAAAACCACATGGAGGCCCTGAGCTGAGGCAGAGGTCAGGCCCTATGTCCCACCTCCCATCCTGGCCCTACCTACCAGGCAGGTGGGGCTCCCTCCTGGTCCCTAGAGGAACATGGACTCTGTCACAGGGTCACAAAGCAGCCAGGGGCTCAGTGGATGCAGACCCCAACCAATGCCAGAAGCATCTTCTGGGAGGGGTGCGTGGCATGGGGACAGAGTGATAGAGAGCGAGTGCTGGGAGGATCCGGACTCCACCTGGCAGCTGGAGACTCCTCAGGATTCCATGAGACTTCTGGGAGGTGGCTAAGTCTGCCCCATCCTCTCCTTCCCTCTGCAGGACAGAGTCTGAGGTGCCTCCCAGACCAGCCTCCCCCAAGGTCACCAGGAGTCCCCCGGAGACAGCTGCCCCAGTGGAGGACATGGCTCGGAGGAGTGAGTTGGCTGTGGGAGGGGAGGAGGGGACAGAGGGTGGGCGGGGAGAGGGGACAGGCAGTCCCAGGTCCTCCTATCTTTTTAGGCAGCCAGGGGAGGCCAGGAGTCAAGGTGATAAAGAGCCCAGGTCTTGCCACCTGGCACTCTGGGTTTAGATTTGACCTTGGGCAGGTGAGTTCACCTGTCTGAGCCTCACCTTCCTCCTCTGTGTAATGGGACAGTGTCTGCACTTACCTTATGGGGCTGCATGGAGCCTGCAGTGGTGCTGCAGGAAGAGTGCCTGGCCCTGGCACACAGCACGTGCCCACTAAGGGGGAGCCGGCGTGAGTACTGGGGTACTGGAGTCCCGTCCCTCCAGAAGCCCAGAGGTCACAGACTACAGTGGAAGGAGGGAGTCTTCAAAGGGCAGTGAAGGGGCTGGGCACAGTGGCTCACACATGTAAACCCAGCACTTTGGGAGGCTGAGGCGGGTGGATCACTTGAGGCCAGGAGTTCAAGACCAGCCTGGCCAACATGGTGAAACCTCACCTCTACTAAAAATACAAAAATTAGCTGGGCATGGTTGCGGGTGCCTATCATCCCAGATACTTAGGAGGCTGAGGCAGGAGAATCACTTGAACCCGGGAGGCAGAAGCTGCAGTGAGCAAAGATCACGCCACTGCACTCCAGCCTGGGTGACAAGAATGAGACTCTGTCTCAAAAAAAAAAAAAGAAAAAAGGCAGTGGCAGTGAAGGAGAGGAGGTGGCAGGGGTGGGAAGAAACCAGGGGCCTCCTTCTGAGCCCCTCTGGCACACTCACCTGTCAGTTTGGCCCAGAGCTGACCAGGTGAGAGAGTGACTGACACTCAGTGGAGGCAATGAGCAGTGGACAGCCAGGAATAGGCGGAACAGCTCTGGGAGCCTCGTGACCAGGGCTGGTAGGTAGTCTACAGTAAAATAAAAATGAACAAGATAGGCCGGGGACAGTGGCTTACACCTGTCATCCCAGCACTTTGAGAGACCGAGGCAGGAGGCTAGCTTGAGCCCTGGAGTTCAAGACCAGCCTGGACAACACAGCGAGACCCTGTCTCAAAATTTAAGAACTTTTAAAAATTCAAAATAAATGGGCAAGATAATTTCAGAGAACAAAAAGTCCTGCGAAGAAAATACATCTGGAAAATGTGACGGAGCAGCTGGGGTGGGGCATGGGGTGGGACTCTAACTAGGGTGCTCGGGGAGGGCCTCCAAGGGGGCAAAGGGCACAAGGAGAGGCCTAGACGATGAGGAGCCAGCCGCAGAAACGGTGTTCCCGGCAGAGGGAACAGCAGATGCAAAGGTTGTGAGGGGGCACGGAGCTTGGTGGATTCACCACAGGCCACGTGGACACTCAGCCTCCCTCACCCTTTCCTTCCTCAACAGCCAAGCGCCCGGCGCCAGCCCGGCCCACCATGCCGCCCCCCCAGGTCTCCGGCTCCCGCTCCTCCCCTCCAGCCCCGCCCTTGCCCCCTGGCTCTGGCAGCCCTGGGACCCCCCAAGCCCTGCCCCGACGTCTGGTTGGCAGCAGCCTCCGAGCCCCCACAGTGCCACCCCCGTTACCCCCCACACCCCCTCAGCCTGCCCGGCGCCAAAGCCGGCGTTCACCAGCCTCCCCCAGCCCGGCCTCCCCAGGTCCAGCCTCCCCCAGCCCAGTCTCTTTGAGTAACCCTGCACAGGTGGACCTGGGGGCTGCCACAGCAGAGGGAGGAGCCCCTGAGGCTATCAGTGGGGTCCCCACTCCCCCAGCTATCCCCCCTCAGCCCCGCCCCAGGAGCCTTGCCTCAGAGACCAACTGAGTGGCTGGTTTCTCCCTAAGCAGCCCTCAGCACCCCCTCCCTCCCCACCTGGCCCTCCCAGGACAGCTCTCGCCCCCCACAAAGGGGCATGGGCCTCCAGCCTTTGCCCACAAGTGCCTCAGTGCCCACTGGGTCGGCCCCCATGGCCAGGAGGGCTCAGGACAATCCTCTATTTCCTGACCTTTTCCTCGTCCACCCTGGGCTTGGGGACCCCCCCACCGGACTCTCCACTCTCCGGCAGGTCCTAGGGGAGCCACCGGAAGGAAGGAGAGGTTTGCCTGCTCCTACGGGACTGATTCTTCTCTTGCCGACATGTTTTTTGTAAGGCTGGTAAATAAATTATTTTGGACAAAACTGGAGCAGCTGCCCAAATGATAGTTTTATTTTCTGTCCTTGAAATAAAGAAGCCAATTTTATAAAGGGGAAAACAATACATATTCTTTGCCTCCTTTCTTCCTGTCTGAAGTGAGATCACAGCAGACATTTTTAGAGCTTTCTCTGCACTACATGCTGTGCTGTTCTGTGGATGATTTCCACTTAATCTTCTCCTACTGCAGGAAATACCATTACCTCTTAGCAGTGAGGAGACTGAGGCCCAGACAGAAGTGACCTGCCAAGGTCACACGGCAGTCAGGCAGGGGCCTGGGATTAGAGCCTAGGTCTGACTCCAAAGCCTGGCTTGTCCCTCACATTCTGGGCAATTTACTTAACTTCTTGGTATCCCTTTTCCTCATTTGTGAAACTTTATAACAATTCCCTCCACAGAGGTATTGCTCTCCATTGAAAACCAAAGCACCACCCTTGGCCCACAGAAGCCCCTACCGCTCCCACTGTTTCCTGGACCCCTCACTCTCCTTCCGGGAGGAGGCTGGGAAGCCTCCCCAAGGAGCAGGGATGGATCTGTCCTCAAACCTTCCCTAAATCTGCTCTGTGCCAGGCCCTGAGCTAGCTCCAAGACTTAACCCTACACCCAAAGAGTTCCCAAACAGACAGGCAGAAGCAACCATTAGAATCAAGTGTCTGGCCAGGCACGGTGTCTCATGCCTATAATCCCAGCACTGGGAGCCTGAGGCAGGAGGATCACTTGAGCCCAGGAGTTCTAGACCAGCCTGGACAACATAGTGAGACCCTGTCTCTACAAAAAAAAAAATTTTAATTAACTGGGTGTAGTGGCGTGTGCCTGTAGTCTCAGCAACTAGGAAGGCTGAGGCAGGAGGATCGCTTGAGCCCAGGAGTTGGAGGCTTCAGTGAGCAGTGATCATGCCACTGCACTCCAGCCTGGGTGACGGTGTAAGACCCTGTCTCAAAAACAAAAAAAATCAAGTGTCATTGCACTGGGAGCCCATATTAGCCAAGTTAGGGGTGGCCATATAACCTAGACTCATGGTATGGGGTGGGTGGTTAAGAACGGCTTCCTGGAGAAGGTGATATTTAAGGGAAGTCTTTCAGGAGCTGACCTGAAGGTGAATTTTGTTTATTTTTATTTATTTTATTTATTTTTTATTTTTTGTTTATTTTTTTTTGAGATGGAGTCTCGCTCTGTTGCCCAGGCTGGAGTGCATTGGCACGATCTCAGGTCGCTGCAAGCTCCGCCTCCTGGGTTCAAGCAATTCTCCTGCCTCAGCCTCCCGAGTAGCTGGGACTACAGGCACCCGCCACCACGCCTAGCTAATTTTTTTCTTTTTTTTTTTTTTTTTTTTTGTATTTTTAGTAGAGACGGGGTTTCACCGTAGCCAGGATGGTCTCGATCTCCTGACCTCGTGATCCGCCCACCTCAGCCTCCCAAAGTGCTGGGATTACAGGCGTGAGCCACCGAGCCCGGCCCTGAAGGTGAAATTTTTAAAGGAAAAAGGAACATTCAGGCCAAGGAGACTATCTATGCAAAGGCCAGGAGCAAAAGGCTTAGGGCACTTGGGGAATAGGAGCTAGTTGAGCTTCCAAGGTTGGGTACAAGGTACAGTTTTTCCCAAGTCGTTGGAGCTCCAGTTGCTCCTGGGGGTCACAGCCTTATCTGAAGTTGGCAGACAACTTCAAAACTGTGACACCACAGCTCACAATTCATTCATCCCCACACTGCAGACCAGTGGCTCCTCAAAGGTCCCAAGACCTGTGGTTGCTTCCAGATCACAAGGCCTCCTCCCTAAGACAGGGACCCAGCCAACCTGGGTCACCCCATTACTATTCTGGGCAATTGGCCACGACCATTCTGGATCCTGCCCTCCCGGGGCGTGCTGCAGTGACAGCCTACCAGCCTCTAGCCCAGTGCTTCCCTACCCTATCCTAGCTCACGGTAGAATCCCTGGAATTAAACCAACTAACCAACAAACCAAAAAATGCCCAGTCTTCACCCAAAACACTTACATGAGGATCTGTCCTGCTACACATCGGTGATTTCAAAAGCATTTGTCAAGACATTGAACTGTACATTTAAGATCTATGCATTTTACTATATGTAAATGATATCTGAAAATAAGTTCCCAGGGGACTCTAACGCAGTGTGAAGAACTACTGGTCTAGACCGAGGGCTCCAGCACCCAAGAAGACACCATGTGCCTCGTACCCCATCGTACACACACGTTTCTTGGGACTTCGCTCTGAACTGGAGCGTCCACGATTCAGGGGGCAATGAGATTCGACCCAAAGGCAGTTCATTTAACATCTGTTTTTCTCCCAGCAACCAGCTCGCCTAAGCTTCTGATTGGCTGGAGGGCACGGGGCCTTTCGCTTCGCGTTTTGTTTGTAGATTCTTATTGGTTAAGAAGAGCGTCAGTCTCCCACCGCGTAAGAGTGTAGTCGGCGTTGAAACTCGGCGGCGACTGGTCCAGCAGAACCAGGGACGGGGAGAAGGATCAAGCTAGCTCTTCATTGGTCCCTTCCCCTCGGTGTTGGCCACGAATCCGCCCCTCTCTCCAAGTTCCGTTAGCTCGCGGCTTCGCTCCTCTCCCAGACTCTCGCCCCCATTGGCTGCAGGCCACGCCGTCGCCCCGCCCCCCGGTCCTTCCAGCGCGCCAATTGGCGGCTGCGTGGAACGTGCCAGGGAGAGCGCGCCGTGCCCGCGGAGAGAGCGCGGCGCGGGAGGCCGGCGGCCGGCCGGCTGCATGGCGCGCTGCGAGAGGCTGCGCGGAGCGGCCCTGCGCGACGTGCTGGGCCGGGCGCAGGGGGTCCTGTTCGACTGTGACGGGGTGCTGTGGAACGGCGAGCGCGCCGTGCCGGGCGCCCCGGAGCTGCTGGAGCGGCTGGCGCGGGCCGGCAAGGCGGCTCTGTTTGTGAGCAACAACAGCCGGCGCGCGCGGCCCGAGCTGGCCCTGCGCTTCGCGCGCCTCGGCTTCGGGGGGCTGCGCGCCGAGCAGCTCTTCAGCTCCGCGCTGTGCGCCGCGCGCCTGCTGCGCCAGCGCCTGCCCGGGCCTCCGGACGCGCCGGGCGCCGTGTTCGTGCTGGGCGGCGAGGGGCTGCGCGCCGAGCTGCGCGCCGCGGGGCTGCGCCTGGCCGGGGACCCGAGCGCGGGGGACGGCGCGGCCCCGCGCGTGCGCGCCGTGCTTGTGGGCTACGACGAGCACTTCTCCTTCGCCAAGCTGAGGGAGGCGTGCGCGCACCTGCGCGACCCCGAGTGCCTACTCGTGGCCACCGACCGTGACCCATGGCACCCGCTGAGCGACGGCAGCCGGACCCCTGGTGAGCGCGGGAATGGCGGGGAAACTGAGATGGGGGCGACCTGCGCATTCGCCTCCACGCCTAAGGGTGAGGGGCGGGGAAGAGGCGTCTCCAGGTGGCAGGTGGGGAACAGGAGAGTGCGAGGGAGGCCCAGGGTGCTTTGGTGTGGGGGGCGGTTGATCCCTGTAGCCGTCATCCTGTGAGGCGCAGCAGTGTGGTCCCTGTTGGACAGATGAGGAAACTGAGGCCCTTTGTAACTTAGGGAGTTGGGCGGAATTCTGCCCTACCCACCATCGGGGTGGGGTTGGAGAGGAAGCCTGGGAGGATTGTCCCCCTGTGTGAGGGTTGAAACACCATTCCCAGAGGCAGGGTGTAGGCAGGTGTGTGGGGAGCAAAGGCGGTGGAGTTTGACCTCAGTTCCAGGTCCAGCTCCAGCTTCACAGCTGTGTAATCGTGTTCAGTTACATAACCTCCAAGCATCTCTGCCTGGGTGAGAAATGGCAGTGCTCAGCATGCCCGGTGACGGTGATCAGGGTGAGTGCCTGGCACATAGTAGGTGTTCAGATGATGTAAGTTGTAGCCAGAGTCCCCCATGTTACAGAGAACTTAATGAAACAGCTTTGTGTGTGTTCTTCTTTGGTTTCCAAATTACTCTGGAGATGGAAGTTATTGTCCCATTTCTCAAGTAAAGAGACTGAGGCAGCCGGATGCAGTGGCAACAGCCTGTAGTCCCAGCTACTCGAGAGGCTGAGGCGGGAGGATTGCTTGAGCCTAGGAGGTCAAGGCTGTAGCGTGCTATCATTGCATCTGTGAAAAGCCACTGTACTTCAGCATGGGCAACATAGTGAGACCTTATCTCTAAAAGAAGAGGAAAGAAACTGAGACTAAGAGAAGGGAAGTGAGCTGCCCAAGAACAGATATAGTGAGCCCCTCCACCTCCTGTGTCCCCACACACCTGCCTCCATCCTGCCTCTGGGAATTGGTGTTTCAGCCCTCACAAGTAGGGACAGTCCTCGCAGGCTTCCCCTCCAACCCTCCAACCGCACCCCAATGATGGGTGGGGCAGAATTCTGCCAGCAACTCTCTGGCAGAGTGATAGAGCGCGGGAACCTGAATTTGGCCTTTGTGACACCGACCTCCAGGGCAGTCTTCACTGCTGTCATCTTGCGAGTTCAGCCCTGCAGGGGAGGCAGAAGCAAAAGGAGGCTCCTCCATTGTGGAGGGTTTGCGTTAGACAAGAGCAGGTGGCAGCAGAGGCTAATTGGCAGTGGTCAGTGTGTGTGGACAGGTTAATAGCCCAGTCAGTATACTGGGGCCGTGGACAGATCTCTGTCACTCCGTCTCTGTTGGCCACTGACCCGGACAGTCATTGATATTAAATCCTGGGGGTACAGGATGGTATTGAGTGGAGAGAAGTAGACACAGGATTATGGTGGGGTGGTGAGCAGGGCCTAGTGCCAGGGGCACCTAGGAAGACTTCCTGGAGGAGGCATGATGCAGGGCAGTGATAATACACCAGGAGATGTAAACCCAGTGTTATGGCATGGCAGAGAGGGATTCTGTAGTCCTTGGCCTCTCCTGGCTGTGCTGCACACCTGCTTGGTATGTGGGCGGGCTCACCTCAGCCTCAGTTTCCCTATAAGTCTGTGTTGAGGGCTCTCTGGTCAGGGCTGTCAGCGGCAGCAGCTCCTGCCTGCCTTAGGCTATGCTATGAAAAGTTTTTCCCAGGAGGCCTCAAGGCTCAGGTTAAGGCTGTGGGTTAAGAGGTTCCCCAGGGCTCAGGAAGGCTGGTTGTCAAGGAGCTAGGGAGAAACCAGGCCCTGCCCACACCTGCCTTGCAGGCGTCTGTGGAATCCAGACCCCTTTGGTCTCAGTAGCCACCTGGCTGTGCCCACCCATCCTGCTGTCACTCCCATAGCCTAGAGGGGGAGGCAGAGGCTTAACAAATACAGCACTGCGATCATGTTTGTGCACAGCTTGATGCAGCTTTCAAACAGTGTGGTGTGGTGTGGTGTGTGTGTGTGGTGTGGTGTGGTGTGACAATATTAATAAAAGCCCCCATGATGTGTATGTCTGAAATAATGCAAATATCTCACCCCCAACTCCTCCTCCCCTGCCCCAGGGACCTCCGAAATTGTGTGTTTATCTTGTCACCACATGGCAGCCACTTGAGCTGACAAATAGAAAGGCCTGCTGTCTTAGGAATACGTCATCAGCATAACATGCAGAGCGGTGGATTACAGAGTGGAGGGGAGTGGAATGATGGTGGCCTGGGAGACGGCGATGTTCCCAGATGCCCCTGCTAGGAGGCTCGCTCCCCTGAGGTCAGGATCTTTGTAGTGTTGACTGCTCTATCCCGTGTCTGGCATGTAGTTGGGCCTTAGTAAATATTAGCTGAATGAAGGATGTGGGACACAGGGCCCAAAGGTGAACAGCTCCATCCTGGTGGGGAAGGACAGAGTTGGGGCCATTCTTGAGCTCAGAAGAACATTTTGGGATGACTCAGTGGAAGCCCTTTCTGTCCCAGAAGGAATCGCTCACCAACGGAGCACGTGGCTTTTATTCTCTCTCTTTTTCTTTAATTTTTTTTTTTTTTTTTTTTTTTTTTTTTTTTTTTTTTTTTTGAGACAGAGTCTTGCTCTGTCACCCAGGCTGGAGTGCAGTGGCCTGATGTTGGCTCACTGCAACCTCTGCCTCCTAGGTTCAAGCGATTCTCCTGCCTCAGCCTCCCCAGTAGCTGGGATTACAGGTACCCACCACCACACGCAGCTAATTTTTATTCTCTACCAAGTTCTTAAAATAGGCAGGTCACAAGATGTCAGATGAGGGGAGAACTCCCAGGGGTGTTGCCCTGGGCCAGCCTGAAAGCATGAGTTCTGGCCCACCTCGGCCTTGATCTTGTGAGCCTGGGAAGTTTCTCTTCCTCATCTGGGGACAGCAGGGCTGAGGATTCTTGCTCTCCCCGCCTGTTTTCCCCTTTGTTCCCCTTCCCCATCTTTGCCTTTGGCTTAACTGAGTGGAGTGTTGTCAGCCTTGGGAAGGGAGACAGGAGGCCCAGAGCATTTGGGGTCAGACCAGTGGTGCGCTGAGAAACATGGAATAGCAGGGAAAGCCATGATTATACCATGTGCTGGCTTCTGTGGTGTAAATACTCCCAGTACAGCCGATCTTGAGCTACCAACGTGCAGTCAGTCCCTGAACGTGGGGTCAGGAAGAGATGTGCAGTAGCACACACCTTCATACAGGATTTCCACCATCACAGGTACGGTGGAACCTCAAGAGCAAAAAGAGCAGAGGCTAGTGTGGTTCAGTAACTAAGAAGTGATGAGTTTTGAGAACTTACTACCTTTGTTTTAAACATTATCATTTAGGTCGGGCACAGTGGCGCATGCCTGTAATCCCAGCACTTTGGGAGGCCGAGGCAGGTGGATCACTTGAGGTCAGGAGTTCGAGACCACCCTGGCCAACATGAGGAAACCCTGTCTCCACTAAAAATACAAAAATAAGCTGGGTGTGGTGACACGCGCCTGTAATCCCAGCTACTTGGGAGGCTGAGGCAGGAGAATGGCTTGAACCCAGGAGGCAGAGGTTGCTGTGAGCTGAGATCGCTCCATTGCACTCCAGCCTGGGTGACAGAGCGAGACTCCATCTCTAAATAAATAAATAAATAAAAGATTACCATGGGCCGGTTACAGTGGCTCACACCTGTAATCCCAGCACTTTGGGAGGCAGAGGCAGGTGGATCACGAGGTCAGGAGATCAAGACCATCCTGGCTAACACAGTGAAAACCCATCTCTACTAAAAAAATACAAAAAAAATTAGCCGGGCATGGTGGCGGGCGCCTGTAGTCCCAGCTACTCGGGTGGCTGAGGCAGGAGAACGGCATGAACCCGGGAGGTGGAGCTTGCAGTGAGCCGAGATGACGCCACTGCACTTAAGCCTGGGCAACAGAGCGAGACTCCGTCTCAAAAAAAAAAAAAAAAATCATATAGTTGTAAGTTTGTAAGCTGACTTTTTTTTGAGACAGGGTCTCGCTCTGTCACCCAGGCTGAAGTGCAGCGGCAAGATCACAGCTCACTTTAATCTCAAACTCCTGGGCTCAGGCACTCCTCCTGCCTCAGCCTCCTGAGTAGCTGGGACTGCAGGTATATGCCACTGTACCCCACTATAATCCTGTGTCCACTTCTCTTCACTCAATATCATCCTGTACCCCCAGGATTTAATATCAATGACTGTCCGGGTCAGTGGCCAGCAGAGAGGGAGTGACAGAGATCTGTCCACACCCCCAGTCTACTCACTGGGCTATTAACCTGTCCACACACACTGACCACTGCCAGTCAGCCTCTGCTGCCACCTGCTTTTGTCTGACTCAAACCCTCCACCGTGGAGGGGCCTCCTTTTGCTCCTGCCTCCCCTGCAGGGCCAAATTCGCAAGATGACAGCAGTGAAGAGTGCCCTGGACCGGATGTCGGTGTTACAGAGGCCAATAATTTTTTTATTTTTCGTAGAGACGGGGTTTCATGGTGCAGGCTGGGCCTTTTATTTATTTATTTTAAATGCAGCTGTGCCTGGAATACGTTGACTTTTTTTTTTTTTTTTTTTTTTTTTTGAGCCAGAGCCTAGCTCTGGCGCCCAGACTGGAATGCTGCAGTGGCGTCATCTCAGCTCACCGCAGCCTCCGCCTCCCGGGCTTAAGTGATTCTCCTGCCCCAGCCTCCCAAATAGCTGGGATTACAGGCATGCGCCGCCATGCCTGGCTAATTTTTGTGTTTTTAGTAGAGACGGATTTTTACCATGTTGGTCAGGCTGGTCTTGAACTCCTGACCTCAGATGATCCGCCTGCTTCAGACTCCCAAAGTCCTGGGATTACAGGCATGAGCCACGGTGCCCAGCCAGCTTTTCTTTTTTTTTTTAATTTTTTAAATATATATGTATATTTAAGTAGAGATGGGATCTCCCTGTTGCCCAGGCTGGTCTTGAACTCCTGGGCTCAAGCAATCCTCCCACCTGTGCTTCCCAAAGTGCTGGGATTACAGGCATGGGCCACTGTACCCAGCCATAAAGTGACTCTTAATAGTACCTTCCTTTAACAACCAGCTCATAAAATTCCTGCATAGGAAACAATCTGTACTCCCAGGTCAGAGCTGGGTTGGACCCACCCGAATGCAAATCCTTTTGCTGCCACTTATGAAGCTGTACAACCCTGGGCAAATTACTTAATGTCCCTGAGCCTTGGCATTCTCATCTGTAAAATGGGCTTCCAGAAACACCCAGCACAGGCCAGGCAGTTTAGAATGTGCTTAGTAAATGGTGATTATCATCATTTGTTCAGGGACATTAGCATGAAGGCCGAATGTTCTGGCACAAAGACACGTCTGTGGGACAGGCACAGTGGACTTATTGTGTGAGGCAGGATGGTACTGGGCTGGAAGACAGGACTGTCCTTTAGTTCTAAACAGTCCTCCTATTGTTGGACACTCGGGAGTGTTCCACAGTTTGGCTTATCGGTTACTGTAGCCACAGACGTCTTCCAGCCTGCAGCTTTTTGTCTCCAGCTGGAATTCTCTTCTTGTGATCACTTTCCCGGGGGACGCGGACTGGGTCAGAGGTGCGAACATTTCTGTGCCCCGCTGTGTTCCAAAGGGGCTGTGCCAGTTTCTAACGCCAGCCGCGTGAATTCCTGCAGCAGTAACCACAACTGCTATTTGTTAAGTGCTGTTCCATTTACAAAGCACTTGCCCCTGTGTTGCCCAGCGCCCGTTTGGAGGTAGGCATTACTTGGATTCCGCTTTCTCAGGAGTCCGGAGAAACTTGGGGTGGTTGAGTGGTTTGTCCAAAGGTCCACGGCTGTCAGGGTGAAATCGCGAACCTCAGGCAGGACTGACCGAGCCAGGCCCTGTTTACCTGCAGTAGCTCCACGCATCCTCACAGTACCCACATGAGATAAGTGCCGTAGACATCCCCATATTAGAGATGGGGAAACCAAGGCACAGAGAGGTTAGCTAGCCTGCCAAGAACGGTGGAGATGGAGTCCAGATGCCGGCATCTGGTTGCCGTCTCTACCCTTAACCACTACAGTGAGACTCGGAAGTGGGCTTTCTGGCTCCTGTCAGCAGCCGATTTGACCCTGGCACAATCCACCTCCCTGGACTTCCAGTTTCAGGGCCTGACGCTGTCCCTGCCGCCCTCCTGCTGACTGCGTCTCCATCTCCCTACAGGCACCGGGAGCCTGGCCGCTGCAGTGGAGACAGCCTCGGGACGCCAGGCCCTGGTGGTGGGCAAGCCCAGCCCCTACATGTTCGAGTGCATCACGGAGAACTTCAGCATCGACCCCGCACGCACGCTTATGGTGGGTGACCGCCTGGAGACCGACATCCTCTTTGGCCACCGCTGCGGCATGACCACTGTGCTCACGCTCACAGGAGTCTCCCGCCTAGAAGAGGCCCAGGCCTACCTAGCGGCCGGCCAGCACGACCTCGTGCCCCATTACTATGTGGAGAGCATCGCAGACTTGACAGAGGGGTTGGAGGACTGAGCCCACTGCACCTGCAGCCACAGGCCCACCCCTCCCCACTCCCTGATCCCGTAGGTGGAGGCGATGGGTCACGAGCCATGTTAAGCACAACCGGCTCCTTGGTCCAGTTCTGCACCGGGGTGGGGCTGGGACCCGGGGAAGGTTTGAGGGCCCTTGCAACCCCCTCCCAGCAGTGGCTGGGCACTCTTTGCTGCCCCAGAAGCTGGTCCCCTATGGATTCATCTTGGCCTGACCCAGCCAGGTGGCCTTATTTCTTCCCTGTCACCTCCCCTCCTTGAAATCTGGGCCCTGGTGCCTGCTGAAGATTCCCTCTATCCCTGAGTACTTAGTCTTCTCCCCCTTCCCTGGGGCTTCTAGAGCTCTCTCTGCCCCTCAGGTCCTGGCCCTTGGGTCCTTGTCAACCAGAGGTCTAGGGAACCACAACCCTTATTGTCCTGGGTGGACCAATCCAAAGGCTAAGTGATAGTGACTCATCAATGTTGGGTCCTGTGGGGTACCAGTTTAGGTTCCTAAGTAATAGTGACCCTTTCACGTCCTGGAGCCCGAGTGGACCAATCGGAAGCCTAAGTGACGATGACCCTCGCATGTCCTAGGTCCCTGGGTGGACCCATCAGGACCCCAAGTGATAGTGACCCAGTGGTCTTTTAGATCCTCAGTAGAACAGTCCAGAAGCCTGAGAGACAGTGGCCCCTTGATAATCTGGGTCTCACGGGACCAGCTAGGGGTCCAGGTTTCAGTCAGTAAATAAGAGTGGTCCACGTCCTAAAGACACCTCTCCTTTACAAAGACTTGTGATGCTCTGGGGCTTCTGTGGCCAAGCCCCACCCTTTCCTGGTCATGGTACCCGTACAGCGTTGATGGCCACAGCTCGAAGGGGGGCTTTCGTGTCCCCCTGTGCGGTCAGTGTTTTCAGTACCACCTCTCTCCCGTGCCCACTTGGCTATTTACTTATTTATTTATTGTGTGCCAGTGATGGTGGGTGGGGGCTGGGCCTTCCCCGCCACCTCCACCCCTGTTGTGACCTGTCCTTCCGTACTTAATAAAGTGCGCGTGGGAGTGTTCACCTGTGTTTGAGTCTATGTTTGGGGAGGGAGGAGGACCCCCTGCTGGAGTGTGCTCTCCCTGGACCTGGCCCACCACATTGTTCTCTGCATGAAATGACCCATTCCTGTTCCTGAGTGTCTTCTGTGTGTAGCGATACTTTGAGTCAAGAGTGCTTTATAGCCAGGCGCGGTGACTCACGCTTGTAATACCAGCACTTTGGGAGGCCAAGGTGGGTGGATCACAAGGTCAGGAGATCGAGACCATCCTAGCTAACACGGTGAAACCCTGTCTCTACTAAAAATACAAAAAATTAGCCGAGCGTGGTGGCAGGCGCCTATAATCCCAGCTACTCAGGAGGCTGAGGCAGGAAAACGGCGTGTACCCAGGAGGCAGAGCTTGCAGTGAGCCGAGATCACGCCACTGCACTCCAGCCTGGGTGACAGAGTAAGACAATGTCTCGGGAAGAAAAAAAAAATTAGCCAGGTGTGGTGCGGTGTGCCTATAGTCCCAGCTACTTGGGAGGCAGGAGAATCGCTTGAAGTTGCAGTGAGCTGAGATCACGCCACTGTACTCCAGGCTGAGCAGCAAAGCAAGACTCCGTCTCAAAAAAAAAAAGCTCAACATGGCTAAGGCTTAGGGGGTTTCGGTCTGCTCCCTGAGGTGGTCTAGCACCCTCCAGGTATATCCTTCTCAGTTCTGAATCCCCAACCAACATCCTAGGGCAGATTCTCATTGGCCTGGCTTGGGTCATAGCCCATCTGGATGGGACACAGCTATTGGTCCATGTGACCCTACCCCCCTTTCCCTTCCCCTTCCACCAGTAAGGAAATGGTTGCCTCCACACAGTCTTGCCTCAGCCTCCCAAAGTGCTGGGATTACAGGCGTGAGCCACCACACCCAGCCTAAGCACAGAATTTTTTTTTTTTTTTAAGATAGTTTCTCCCTCCGTCACCCAGGCTAGAGTGCAGTGGTGCGGTCTTGGCTCACTGCAACCTTCGCCTCCCAAGTTCAAGTGATTCTCCTGCCTCAGGCTCCCAAGTAGCTGGGATGACAGACGCCTGCCACCACACCCAGCTAATGCCACCACGCGTGGCTAATTTTTGTATTTTGAGTAGAGGTGGGGTTTCACCATGTTGGTCAGGCTGGTCTCAAATTCCTGACCTCAAGTGTTCCCCAACTTGGCCTCCCAAAGTGCTGGGATTACAGGCGTGAGCCATCTTGCCCCGTCTCTAAGCACTGAGTCTTAATGAGTTTAAAGCTTGAGTGTAAACCAATCGCAGTAATTTGATTCCTCTGGGTCAGTGATTGGCTAATCTTCTGACCAATGAAACATGAAGAGAGGTCTGGAATGTTTGCCTCATTCTTTTTTTTTTCCTCTTCTTTTTTTTTTTTTTTTTTTGAGACAGAGTCACTCTCTGTCACCCAGGCTGGAGTGCAGTGGTGCGATCTTGGCTCACTGCAACCTCCACCTCCCAGGTTCAAGCGATTCTCCTGTCTCGGCCTCCTGAGTAGCTGGGGCTACAGGCGCACCCTGCCATGCCCGGCTAATTTTTGTTGCATTTTAGTAGAGATGTGGTTTCACCGTGTTGCCCAGGCTGGTCTCGAACTCCTGAGCTCAGGCAATCCACTGGCCTCGGCCTCCCAAAGTGCTGGGATTATAGGCGTGAGCCACCGCGCCTGGCTGTTTGCCTCACTTTTAAAGGACATAGAGGAGGGAGTCACTTTTCCTGGCTTTGGGTGTGGTCCTGGGAGCCGTTGCAGCCATTCTGTGATCAGGAGGTATGGCTGAGCATTTAACTCAGGTGACCCTGTTGCAGGTAGCAGAGCAGAAAGACGGCAAGAACTTACTGGGTTTGTTTTTCCCCAACTTGTAATTTAGAAAAGTTCCAAATTAATATAAAAGGTGCAAGGATAACAATGAATACCGCTACATCCTTCACCTAGATTTACCAGTTGTTAATATTTGCCCAGTTTGCTTAACTGCTCTTTATATATGTTTACTTTTTGTTACTGTTTTAGAGATGGTCTCACTCTATTGCTGAGTCTAGACTGTAGTGGTGCAGTCACGGCTCATTGCAGCCTCTAACTGCTGGGTTCACGTGATCCTCCTGCCTCAGCCTCCTGAGTAGCTAGGAGCACAGGCATATGCCACCACACCCAGCTAATTTTTTAAAAAATTTTGGCCGGGCGCGGTGGCTCACGCCTGTAATCCCAGCACTTTGGGGGGCTGAGGCGGGTGGATTACGAGGTCAGGAGATCGAGACCATCCTGGCTAACACGGTGAAACCCCGTCTCTACTATAAATACAAAAAAAAAAAAAAATTAGCCGGGCGTGGTGGTGGGCGCCTGTAATCCCAGCTACTCGGGCGCCTGTAATTCCAGCTGAGGCAGGAGAATGGCATGAACCCGGGAGGTGGAGGTTGCAGTGAGCTGAGATCACGCCACTGCACTCCAGCCTGGGCAACAGAGTGAGACTCCATCTCAAAAAAAAAATTTGCAGAAATGGGGTTTCCCTTTTGTTTTGTTTTGTTTTGTTTTGTTTTGTTTTAGAGACAGGGTCTCACTATGTTGCCCAGGCTGGAGTGCAGTGGCTATTCACAGGCAGGATCCCACTGCTGATCATCGTGGGAGTTTTGACCTGCTCTGTTTCCGACCAGGGCCAGTACAGTCCTCCTTAGGCAAACTTGTGGTTGCCTCTCCCAGGAGGTCACCATATTGATGCCAATCTTAGCACACTACAGCCCACGATTCCTGGGCTCAGGCGATCTTCCTGCATCAGCCTTCCAAAACGCTGAGATTACAGGCATGAACCACTGTGCCCAGCTTGTTTACATTTTTTAACTGAACCATCTGAGAGTATGTTACAGATGCTAACACAGTTCACCGAAAATTCTTCAGCTTGTATGACCTAAGAGCAAGGACAGCCTACACAGCCACCATCCAGGATTACACGAGAACCTAGACATTTGATGATTTTATTGAGTCACTGAATTAATGTGCTATGGAAACTCCCAACTGCAGACTTTTTTTTTTTTTTTTGAGGCAGAGTCTTGCTCTGTCGGCCAGGCTGGAGTGCAGTGGCGCGATCTCGGCTCACCGCAAGCTCCGCCTCCCGGGTTCAAGCAATTCTCCCACCTCAGCCTCCTGAGTAGTTGGGATTACAGGCATGCCCACCATGCCCAGCTAATTTTTTTTGTATTTTTAGTAAAGATAGGGGTTTCACCATGATGACCAGGCTGGTCTCGAACTCCTGGCCTCAAGTGATCCACCTCGGCCTCCCAAAGTGCTGGGATTACAGGCGTGAGCCGCCATGCCTGGCCAGATATTTTCTAAACTCTTTTTTTTTTTTTTTTTTTGAGACAGAGTCTCACTCTGTCGCCAGGCTGGAGTGCAGTGGCGCGATCTTGGCTCACTGCAACCTCCACCTCCCTGGTTCAAGCAATTCTCCTGCCTCAGCCTCCCAAGTAGTTGGGACTACAGGCACACGCCACCATGCCCAGCTAATTTTTGTATTTTTAGTAGAGACAGGGTTTCACCATGTTGGCAAGGATGGTCTCAATCTCTTCACCTCATGATCCACCCGCTTCAGCCTCCCAAAATGCTGGGGTTACAGGTGTGAGCCACTGCGCCCAGACTCTAAACTCTTAAAAAGCTTTTAGATTTCCTTTGTGTCTATAATTATTTTCAAAATAAAATGCTCACTGGACACAGTGGTTCACACCTGTAATCCCAGCACTTTAGGAAGCGAAGATGGGAGGATCGCTCGAGGCTAGGAGTTAGAGAGCAGCCTGGGCAACATAACGAGATCCTGTGTCTCCAAAAATAAAAATAAATTACCCAAGCCCAGTGGTGTGCACCTGTAGTCAGTCCAAGCTCCTCAGGAGGCTGAGTCAGGAGGATTGGTTGATCCCAGAAGTTTGAGGTTATAGTGAGCTATAATCCACTCCAGTCTGGGTGACAGAGTGAGACCCTGTCTCAAAAGTAAAATAATAAAATATAAAATAAAATAATATAAAATAAAATGCTAAAAGCATTGTAAAGGTTCAGGCCTGAGTCTGGGAGGGCTGTGAATGAAAGGACCTGGCCCCCACCCAGACCTTACCTGAGAGGAGCGGCGGGGCCCTAACCGAGGGCTGAGGCCTGCAGTCAGAAGAGATACAGACAAGAAGTGGGAAGGCCAATGGCAGGTGTGGAGGGGGCTGTCTGGACAAAGGCTGGGAGGTGAGAATGGATGAGCAGGGTTGAAGGGGCGGGCTGAGGTGCCACCTGGCTGGAAAAGGGCCCAGGTTGCCAGGGGCATCCCCCACCTTCATAGAGTAGGAGGGAAAAGATAGCTTTTCAAGCCCAGGTATCTTTAGTTCAGCAGATGAAAGCGGGTCGGCCCTAGCTACCTGTGTGACTTTGGTCAAGTGGCCACCCTCTCTGGGTGGTTTCCCCGACCTTAAACTGCATCATTAAATGGGGGAGCAGGTCAGGCACGGTGTCTCAGGGTTCCTCCCTGCTCTGACTTCTAGGACTCAGAAGCTGGCTCTGACCTCCCCTACCTTCCCTGGCTGGAGCACCCAGGTTGGCTGCGGGTGTGGATGGCGCCTCTGTGGGCCGCCCTCCTTCAGCACCGCCAGCTGAAGGAGGTACAGCTTCCCTTTCCCCGCCTCTGCCCCCTGTCCCTGGCAGGGCGGGAATGACCGAGCTGGCCTGGATGACTTGTCTAGACCAAGCTGAGCCCATTTCTCATGGCAGCAGCCAAGATCCAGCCCAGGACAAAGGAATTCCAGAGAGCTCACTGCCTCTATTTCAGGACAGTTATAACGTGGGGAGGAGAATCCCTGGGGTGGTGGCCTTAGCCTGGGGGATGCAGGAGGGAGCACTAACATCGAGCCCCTCCTTAGACATCACTCCTATCATCCTCCAAGCAGTGGCCTTATTCCCATCTTCCAGGCCTGGAAACGGGTTCAGAGAAGCCAAGGACCTCAGCTACAGCTGCAGCCACTCAGCCCCCAAACCAGAACTCACCACTCGTCTCATCTCCTGATTCTTTTTTTTTTTTTTTGTGATGGAGTCTTGCTCTGTCACCCAGGCTGGAGTACAGTGGCACTATCTCGGCTCACTGCAACCTCCATCTCCTGTATTCAAGCAATTCTCCCTGCCTCAGCCTCCTGAGTAGCTGGGGTTGCAGGCACCCGCCACCACACTCAGCTAATTTTTGTATTTTTAGTAGAGATGGGGTTTTGCCATGTTAGCCAGGCTGGTCTCGAACTCCTGTCCTCAGGTGATCCACCCACCTCAGCCTCCCAAAGTGCTGGGATTACAGGCATGAGCCACCGTGCCCGGCCTCTTCTGATTCTAACTGCAGCTTCATTTCCCTGTGCAGAAATTCAACCAAGTTGGCAGACACAAAGTAGGGGCGAGGGGAAGATGAGAGGGGAGATAATGAAAGCAAGGCGCCGGGCACAGGGCCTGGCAAGATAAGTGGGCGCTGCCACTAGGAGGCCCTGAGGACTAGGGGGAGGAGGCCCACGATGCACCTGTGTCCCTGCCTTCCCTCCCCGCCAGGAAAACCGCAGCTCCTGTCACAGGGGACACTGGAATCTGGAGAGACTTCTTGCCCCAACCTCGGCAAGAGGAGACTGTTGGGGACCTGTTGGGCATGACATGTAGACCTCCCAGAGGTGCTGCAAAGACCTAGGGAAGGTAACAGCCTGGGAAGAGACAAGAAGGAAGTGAAAACCTTCTGAGCCTCCATGAAAACACGAATCATCTGTTTAGTACAACAGACCTCAGTTCCACCCTGTATTCACCTCGTGCAAGGAAAGCAGGATTTCATCTCCCCAATTTACAGATAGGGAGACTGAGGCAAGTGGGAGAAGCAGCTTGCCAGGAGGCTCTGAGGGGACATAGCAAGCAGGGCCAGCACCCGCGTGTCTAGACTCCCAAATAGGCCTTTCTAGGGACCTCTTCACCATGCCACCCTGCCTCCCTGCCAGCCCCACTCATGCCAGACGCTGCAGAGGAGTAAATTGTCCCTCCATCCAACAGCAAACAGTCCCTGATGCCGGGCCCATTTTCCAGGGTGGAGGAGGATGCAGGAGCAGCTCCTGAGGCTACAAGAACCCAATTATTGGGCTGGGCTGGGAAAGTGGCCACACCCACCCGCCCGCAGCCCGGCGAGGACCACACCTGAAGCGCCTCTGACCCTCGGTCTAGGACTCCGCCTGAGATGCCCCATTCCTTGATCTGGCAGAGAGGGGAGGCATGGGGGAGGGGCAGTGGAACTAGGCTGGGCCCCATCCAGCCCTTCCTATGGTTGAGGTTTTGGGGAGGCCCGGAGGAAAAAGTGAAGCTGCTGTGGTTGGTTTCCAAGCAGCCACTTGGTCTGGAAGGAGGGGTAAGGCACTCACAGGGGTGCAACCCCATCCCCTCTCTGGGTCCGCCTTGCGGCCCTACACACTCCCCTCTCATCCTGTACCAGAGTGGGCTTTGGGCATCTGGAGGAAGGTGCCCCTGAGAGGCAGGGTGGGTGTGTTGGCCTGGCTTCCAGATGTGAGTCACTCCTGGTCCGCATCTTCGTCCCTCTTTGGTGCCAGCAGTTTCAGAAGGGGGACGGCCAGGTGGAGAAGGAGGTCCCCGTGACAACCCCCCAGCATGCCCCTCATTTTGCCCAGTGCTCCCCACGCCCCTTCCTCCACCAGGTTCCTGAGTGTAAGGTGAGCACCCCTCCCACCCACCCTCAATTCTCTGCCACAGTGATCTTCCCTAGAGCCCAAATCTGGCCTCAGTACTCACCCTCCCTCTAGCCCTGGCTCCCCAGCCTCCTCCCATACAACAATGTCCAAGCCCTGTGCCCAGCCCATGAGGCCCTCCATGGTCCAGGTCCTGTTGGCTTCCCAGCCTCATCCCCGTTTTTCCCCCACATGCCCGGAACACTGTTCTCCAGCCCTGGCCTTCTCATTCTGGAGCTTCTGCCCATGGTGGAAAGCCAGGCACTTCTCCGCCTACCCTTCACGACCCACCTCCTTTACTCATGCAGCCGCCAGCCCACCATAGCACTTTCTCATGGCTTCCCTTACAGCCATCATCATCTACTTCTTTTTATTTTTATTTTTATTTTTTATTTTTTTTAATTGAGACTGAGTTTCACTCTTATTGCCCAGGCTGGAGTGCAATAGACTGATCTCGGATCACTGCAACCTCTGCCTCCTGGGTTCAAGCGATTCTCCTGCCTCAGCCTCAGGAGTAGCAGGGATTACAGGCATATGCCACCATGCCCAGCTAATTTTGTATTTTTAGTAGAGATGGGGTTTCTCCGTGTTGGTCAGGCTAGTCTCGAACTCCTAACCTTAGGTGATCCGCCCGCCTCGGCTTCCTAAAGAGCTGGGATTACCGGCGTGAGCCACTGCGCCCAGCCCATCATCTACTTCTTAACGTGGTTGTGGTCAGATTCCACCCCAACTATGCGCTCCTTGAGAGTGGGGACTGGGAGGGGTTCAGCTTTGAATCCTCAGAGCCCAGGGCCAGGTACATAGTAGGTGCTCAGTAAAATACCTGCTGAACACTCAGGGAAGGGAGGGCTGTGCCGGGCCTCAGAGGAGATGTTAAGAGAGCAGACAGGGTGGCCAGGCATGGTGGCTCACACCTGTAATCCCATTACTTTGGGAGGCTGAGGCGGGTGGATCAACTGAGGTCAGGAGTTTGAGACCAGCCTGGCCAACGTGGTGAAACCCCGTCTCTACTAAAAGTACATAAATTAGCCGGGTGTGGTGGTGGGGGCCTGTAGTCCCAGCTACTCGGGAGGCTGAGGCAGGAGAATCAGTTGAACCTGGGAGGCAGAGGTTGCAGTGAGCTGAGATCACGCCACTGCACTCCAGCCTGGGCGACAGAGCGAGACTCCATCTCAAAAATAAATATATAAATAAATAAAAATAAAAAAGAGAAAGGACAGGGTGCACAGAGCCAGGACCCCACCCCCTCCTGGTCTGGACCACCCTGGGCCATCTCCTAAGCTTGACACTCTCAGGCCTGAGGCTGTCAGGCCAGGGCGCTTTGACTATCCCCTGCCTGCCCCTGAACGCGGCCAAGCCCGAGGCCTTAGCCAAGCCCTGCAGCCTCAGGCTTGGCGCCCGGCCCAGCCTTTCTTTAGCCTTCCCGAGGAGCCAGCGAGAGAGCGCTGCAGCAGCCGCAGTCCTTGCTTCCGGGGAAGGCCCGGGTGGGGCCAGGGCCTGTGGTTAAGTCAGTGGCCCTCTGCAGACGCGCACGCAGCAGGAGCCACGCCCTGGTCCCTGCCCGGGAGTGGCCTGGTCTCCCCCAGCTCTGATTCCCTGAAGGACCCTGCACCTCCTCAGCCATCTTCTCTGGGCACCCCCTGAGCCCAGCCTGCTGGCCACAGGCCCCTTCCCGCCAACTTGTGGGCCTAGCTCATCATCAAACTATTTTCCACTGGCTTCCCCCAATCTCTGCCACAGCACAATTTTGGTGGGGAGGTGGAGAGGGATGAAGGAGAATAGGAGGTGGAGCTTGGACTCTGGCCGGGGGCGGCGGGGTGAGGGGGGGCAGCAGCTCGCCACTCTGATTGGTCACCTCTGCTCCAAAACTGGCTTCAAAATTCCACGGACTCCGCCCCCAGTGGCCCCCAGCCCTATCCTGACTTGCAATTGGCTGAACTTTCAGGGGGCGGGGCTCACCCGGTCCGGTCCAGTTAAAAGGGTGGGAGCGTCCGGGGGCCCATCTCTCTCGGGTGGAGTCTTCTGACAGCTGGTGCGCCTGCCCGGGAACATCCTCCTGGACTCAATCATGGCTTGTGTGAGTGTGGGGACCCCCCCCCAAGGTCCAGGGGATAGGGCAGGAACTGATGGCCAGAGGAGAGCTGGGCAGATCGGGAGCAGATTCTAGCCCCAGCTGTGTGGCCTGGAACCAGTGCCTTCTCTTTTCTGGACCTCAGTGGCCACATCTGTAAAATGGGGGTGGGCGCCATGGTCCCTCAAGGCCTTCTCTGCATTGATAATTGTCTGGATTCCTCCAGGGTCTGAAAGCACAGTTATTTCTGCCCAGGGTTGACATTCTGCAGCTCTCTGAGAAGTGAGCGTGGGAAGGGTGTGGCCAACTGGGGGACACCCAGGCCACTATCCCTTTCCCCCTCCTCCACCCCAAAGAGCCTCCTGTCCCCTCCCCCCTGCAGCTGTCCCGGTCACCAGGCCAGGGCAGAGTTACCCTCTGCTCCAGAGAACGCTGAAAAGTTGCCAGGACCCGAGACAAGCTGCCCAGGATGGGCCCTTCTAGGTCGGGGGTGGAGGGTGGTTGTGTCCAGGCTGGTGGCGGGGGGGGCGGGGGAAATTCCCTTCCACCACCCCCAAGCTGGGAGGTTGGGGTGGCAGGGAGGTGAGAATCTTCCTCGGGCCCCAGGGAAAGGGTTCAAGTTTCTGGCAGAAGAAACCACTCAAACCAGTTAACTCTTGCCCACCCACTCGGGGTGCCAGGGAACAGCAGTGCCCAGCAGTTTGCTCAATCTTGTTAACCCTGAGCCAGCCCAGCCACAGCCCGACTGCAGGGCTATTCTCCCTAATGCAGAGAGGCCGTGTTTTTCAGGGTCTCCTCTCTAGCCCCTGGGCCTCTTTGCAGAGAGGGGCTTGAAGGAGAATAGTGGGGTCGCCCGCCCCTAGCCACTTCCTCTCCAGCAGAGGGGCCGGCCCCTCCATTCAGTGTGACGGTGGGCCAAGTGTCGGCCCCTCCCCAGCCTGATCCTCTCCATCTGCGATGGGACAGAGCACCCCATCTCCCAAGTCACTCTTGAGTCCAAAATTCCCAAGCCAATCTGCAAAATCTTCTAGAGCCTGTCTTCTAGAACCTTCACGTTACAGACTGAAGCCAACCCCGGTGGGAATAGGGACTTTCCCAGGACCACATAGACAATCGGAGGCTGGAAATTACAGCTCAATCCTTTCCCCAGGCTTCCCCTTGGCTTGGTCAGAGGATGCCGGGCGGGAACAACCCCACTCCCACCCCCAGCCACCCCCGGACACTTCGAGCAGTGGAGGCCTTGTCCTCTAACCCGGCTGGGCCGGGGCTTGTCTGTGCAGGGTCTGGTCGCCAGCAACCTGAATCTCAAACCTGGAGAGTGCCTTCGAGTGCGAGGCGAGGTGGCTCCTGACGCTAAGAGGTGAGAAGTGAAGTCGGGGTGGTGGGCGGCAGGGACGGGCTTGGTCCAGCAGGGAGGGCGTGGCCGGCCAAGCCCACATCTCCTCCCTGGCCGGGAGCGGGTTAACGGCCAGCCGCCGATGCTGCGTTTTCTGGGTGACTCACTTCCCCCGCAGGGTCTGGGCGCCCCCACCGTTGCCGCCCCCTCCCCCGCTCCCTCCCTGCTGTAGCCTCTTAAACTAAACCAGCTGCAGCCTCGTCATCTGTAATACCTTGACTCCCCCGCCCCCACCCCTTTCCGGTCTGGGCGGGACCTGTCGCTGGGGAGGGCGGGGAGAGGAGTGGGGCGGGCGTCACCGCCGCCTTCCCCCTGAGTCCCTCCTTCCTGCGTCTGGTCATTCATTCATTCACTGGCTCAGTCCGGTCCTTCTTCCTTCACTTCTCATTCACTCAGACGGCTGCCTTATTTTCTCGGCAGTTAGGTGACCTTGGACCAGTCAACCAACCTCACCTAGCCTCAGTTTGTTAGAAAAACAAGGGGGGAGGTGGTTGTGTGGAGGAAGTGAGATGCGGCTGGCGCAGTGACAGTGAGGAGGATGAGGATCAGCTGATATTGTTAAGAGCCGCACACTTCTCATGCACTAATTTCATTTCAACCAAACCCTCAGAGGCAGGTATTGCTATTATCACCACTCAACAAATGTATTTATTATTTTATTTATTTATTTATTATTTTATTATTTTATTTATTTATTTTTTGAGACACAGTCTCACCCTGTCGCCCAGGCTGGAGTGCAATGGCGTGATCTCGGCTCACCACAACCTCCGCCTCCCGGGTTCAAACGATTCTCCGGCTTCAGCCTCCTGAGTAGCCGGGATTACAGGGGCCCACCACAACGCCCAGCTAATTTATGTACTTTTAGTAGAGACGGGGTTTCACCATGTTGGCCAGGCTGGTCTCGAACTCCTGACCTCATGATCTGCCCGCTCGCCTCGGCCTCCCAAAGTGCTGGGGTTACAGGCATGAGCCACCGTGCCCGGGAGTATTATTATTATTATTTGTTAATTCGCCCCATAATTACTAAGCATCTTTTTCTGGTGTGCCCCACTTGTGCTGGGCACCGGGAATACAGAGATGTACAAGACAGGACGGGAGGTCACCATCTGGAGGGAGTCACTGACCTTGACCAAACGGGCTAGGATGCTAATGACTTCAAGAATCAAGCGAGCCCTCCTGTGCAGCCCCCATTGTACAGATGAGCAAACAGGGGAAGAGGGGCAGGAGCAGGTGGCATGGCCAGAGCTAGAATCCAGGTTTCTTGTCTCTGTTAGTGAGTTCTTCCAGCAAGGTGCGTTCATGGGATACTGAGTGACAGATTAGTCGGTCAGTGGGGCTGGAGCTGGCCGAGGTGGCCTCATGCCCACCCGTTACCCCCCAGCTTCGTGCTGAACCTGGGCAAAGACAGCAACAACCTGTGCCTGCACTTCAACCCTCGCTTCAACGCCCACGGCGACGCCAACACCATCGTGTGCAACAGCAAGGACGGCGGGGCCTGGGGGACCGAGCAGCGGGAGGCTGTCTTTCCCTTCCAGCCTGGAAGTGTTGCAGAGGTGGGCTGCAGACCGGAACCGGGGACCAGGGACAGGGGCTGGGTGGGCTGGGGCGGGGCTGGGTTAGTGACTAGAGACCTTGGCCCTGCCTGCTCTTTCCCCTCCCCTTCCCTCCCTTCCTGTGTGATGGCCAGTGTCTGCCCCTCTTTGAACCTCAGTGGTTGATTACAATAAAACGAAGGGGAAAAAAAAAGGCTGGGCTTGGTGGCTCATGCCTGTAATCCCAGCACTTTGGGAGGCCGAGGCGGGCGGATCACCTGAGGTCGGGAGTTCGAGACCAGCCTGACCAACATGGAGAAACCCTGTCTCGACTAAAAATACAAAAAATTAGCTAGGCGTGATGGCGCATGCCTGTAATCCCAGCTACTCAGGAGGCTGAGGCAGGAGAATTGGTTGAACCCGGGAGGCGGAGGTTGCAGTGAGCCGAGATTGCACCACTGCACTCCAGCCTGGCCAACAAGAGCAAAACTCTGTCTCAAAAAAAAAAAAAAAAATTAGCCAGCGTGCTGGCTCATGCCTGTAATCCTGGCACTTTGGGAGACCAAAGTGGGTGGATCACCTGAGGTCAGGAGTTCGAGACCAGCCTGACCAACATGGTGAAACCCCGTCTCTATATAAATACAAAAATTAGCTGGGCGTGGTGGCACACAACTGTAGTCCTAGCTACTCAGGAGGCTGAGACAGGAGAATCACTTGAACCTGGGAGGCGGAGGTTGCAGTGAGCCGAGATTATGCCACTGTACTCCAGCCTGGGCGACAGAGGAGACTCCATCTCAAAAAAAAAAAAAAATCTATCATAGGATTAGAGTAAAAAGAAAGAAAAAATATTATAAATGTACCTCCGCAGGCTCAGCCACAAACTGGGGCTGTGTCAGGGCCACATGAGGAACGGGTTCTGGAAGGGCCCATGGCATGTGGGCCCGGCTCACTGCTCTCCTCTACCCCCAGGTGTGCATCACCTTCGACCAGGCCAACCTGACCGTCAAGCTGCCAGATGGATACGAATTCAAGTTCCCCAACCGCCTCAACCTGGAGGCCATCAACTACATGGCAGCTGACGGTGACTTCAAGATCAAATGTGTGGCCTTTGACTGAAATCAGCCAGCCCATGGCCCCCAATAAAGGCAGCTGCCTCTGCTCCCTCTGAACCAGCCTCGTGTGTGTGCTTGTGCGTGTGTGTGTATGTGTGTGCATGTGTTTGTGTGTGTGAGAGGGGTCCCCCACCTCCAGGCCTGCCCCCTTCCTTCACTTCCATTCGCTTTGTCCACGGGTACCTCCTCAGTTCCAATGACGTCTTCCGCTGGGTCCCCCAGACAAAGCACACAGAGTTTGGCACATAGTAGGAGGGTCAGTGACCACTGAATAAAAGTCAGTCCCTGCCCTGAAACTGTTTTTAGCCTAGTGGGCCCTAGCACACAGCAGATGCTCAAAGGATGTTGCATAAATGACATCAAGGGGGAAAGAGGCAAGGACAGACCAATTCGTGTGTAGTGACGGGGCAGAAGACAGGGAGGTGGAGGGAAGAATACGAGACCCCTCTCATTTGCCTTCATGAGCTAGAAAGAGATTTGGAGTCAGACAACAACGGGCTGCCAGCTATGTGGCCTTGTGCATGTTAACTGACCTCTCTGAACCTCAGCTTATTCCTTTATAACAAGGAGGATAACACAAACAGCCTATCAAAGAGTTGTTCCAAAGACCAGTCACTTCTTGGCCTTCTGGCTGAGATCAAGTGGAGATTAAATGAGGTGTTGCATGAAAGAAGCCAAGTTCAATACCTGGCATATGGTAAATGCTTAGTGGATAGTGGTTTCCCATACCTCGTGCACGGATTATTTTTTTTTTTATTTTTATTTTTTTAGAGATGGGGGTCTTCCTATGTTGCCCAGGCTGGAGTGCAGTGGTTGTTCACAGGCATGATCATGGCATACTGCAGACTCAAAGTCCTGGGCTCAGGCAATACTCCTGCCTCAGCCTTCTGAGTAGCTGGGACCACAGGTGTGTGTCACCGTACCCAGATCCCTGCACCACTTTTGAGGTGCTATTACTCCAATTGAAGGGGAAGAAATGGGCTCTGATTGATGAAATGACTCCCGGATCTGTACCAGGTCCAGCTGAGCCTGCGGGGCTCCTCAGGGATCCCGGCTTTGTGGGCTCAGGCCATGCACCCCACTTTGCTAGACTGTATGGGCAACCAAAGGACTAGTCTGGAAGCTGCCGGCTCTCATTCCTGGGCAGATGCCCCCACCCCAACAGTGGGTTTGGGTGATGACCCTGGCACCCCATTGCCAGCCCGTTTCTGTGGTAGGAGGAGCTGGGGTTGGGGGCTACGTCAGCCTCTGCAGAGAACCAAGAGGTAAAAGCCAGCCAACATGAGGCCCAGCCTCCAGACTCCCGCAGCCTCCTCCTTGGGGTACAGAGTAGGGGTGACTCACTCAACCTGAGATGAGGTCTCCATGAGCCTGTTCTCTCCTGGTTTCCAAAGACAGTGTCTCCTCCAAGACCAGCCCAGGCTGTTACCTTGGAGGGTAATGCTTAACCCAACCCCATCAAACCCACCCATCACAACTGCTGGGGCCTGAGTGGACGGCTAGGGTGCCCTGCAGACTGACTACTTCCCTGCACCTTTTCCTTCCTGCTTGCTGCTGCAGTCAGATCTTCCCAGGGCCCCTACCTCTCTGGGAACCAGCTGCAGGAACTGAGCCAAAGTTCAGAAGGTTAGAATGAGAACATCATTAGGCTCCCCCATAACCCCAAGGCACAGTCTCCTGAGGCATGGTGCGTGGGTGGGGGGGTCTTGGCAAATCTCACTTTCTAGGGCAACTGGCACCAGCTGTGAGTAGGTCTCTTATACACCCAGCCTCAGTTTCCTCATCCATAAAATGAGACCCATTTTGGGTAGATGATTTCCATCTCAGTGGGTGCCCTGGGACCTGGGTGGAAGCGGGGGTCATGTATCTCTCTATGAGGTCAAAGAGGATGGAACACACATGCTGAGAACTCCCATGAGCCACACCCAATCTCCAGGCTCTCCTGGGGCTCCCAGGTGGCCACCCAGAAACAGCTTCAGAAGCCTGGCTGCAGATGGAGTGCCCTCTGCTGGACATTGGAGAACACGTCCCCCAGGCTGCCCTGCCTTGTCCTCAGTTCACCCACATTGATTCTCCCCTACACTGGCTGACACTCACAGGACACTAGGACTGGGGCCACAACCGGGCAGAGGAAAGTCCTGGGGCAGGTAAGAGAGGCCACTGGGTGTGGAGGAAGGAAGCCCGGCTCAGCGTCAGACAGACCTGTGTTTAAACCCCAGCTCTGTGGCTGTGTGCCCTTGGACCAGTTATTCAACGTCTCTGAACCTCAGTTTCCTCATCTGGCAAACTTTGTTAAGACTGCACTAGTTGGCCAGGCACGCTGGCCCACGCCTGTAATCCCAGCACTTTGGGAGGCCGAGGTGGGTGGATGACCTAAGGTCAGGAGTTCGAGACCAGCCCGGGCAACATGGCGAAACCCCGTCTCTACTAAAAATACAAAAATTAGGCCGGGCATGGTGGCTCACGTCTGTAAATCCCAGCACTTTGGGAGGCCGAGGCGGGTGGATCACCTGAGGTCGGGAGTTCGAGACCAGCCTGACCAACATGGAGAAACCCCGTCTCTACTAAAAATATAAAAAATTAGCCGGGCATGGTGGTGCATGCCTGTAATCCCAGCTACTTGGTAGGCTGAGGCAGGAGAATGGCGTGAACCCGGGAGGCGGAGCTTGCAGTGAGCCGAGATCCCGCCACTGCACTCCAGCCTGGGCGACAGAGCGAGACTCCGTCTCAAAAAAAAAAAAAAAAAAAAAATTAGCCGGGCGCAGTGGCGCGTGCCTGTAATCCCAGCTACTCAAGAGGCTAAGGCAGGAGAATCGCCTGAGCCCGGAAGGCAGAGGTTGCAGTGAGCCGATATTGCGCCATTGCACTCCAGCCTGGGTGACAGAGCGAGACTCCATCTCAAAAAAAAAAAAAGACTGCACTAGTATTGGCTGGGTGTGGTGGGTCACACCCGTAATCCCAGCACTTTGGGAGGCTGAGGCAGGAGATTCATTTGAGGTCAGGAGTTTGAGACCAGCCTGGCCAACAAGTGAAACCCCGTCTTTACTAAAAATACAAAAATTAGCCGGGCATGGTGGTGCATGCCTGTAGTCCCAGCTACTGGGGAGGCTGAGGCAGGAAAATCACTTGATCCCGGGAAGAGGAGGTTGCAGTGAACCGAGATCATGCCACTGCATTCCAGCCTGGGCGACACAGCAAGACTCCGTCTCAAAAAAAAAAAAAAAAAAAAAAGATTAGCTGAGGTGATGTATAGAAATGCATGGTGCCTGGCACGCAATAGGGGCTCGGTGAGTGTTGGTTCCCTTCACCCCTTTTAAGGCTTGGTGTGTCCCAAGGGCCTAGGAAACTAGGTCCAGATAAGTTAAGTCAATCTCTGTCCTTAGGCCACCTGCGCCCCACCCTCAGCACCTGTTTTTGCCTGTGTGACCTCAGACAAGTGACTGCACCTCTCTGAGCCTCAGTTTCCTCCTCAGTAAAATGTGGATTGTACCTCAAAAGAGATCATCATAAGCCAGGCACAGTGGTGGGCACCTGTGGTTCCAGCTACTCCTGAAGCTGAATGGGGAGGATCGCTTGAGCCCAGGAGTTTGAGACCAGCTTGGGCAACATAGTGAGACCCTCATCTCTATAAATAAATAAATAAATAAATAATAAAATCAATAATCTAAAGAGAGTAAAGAGCTAAATAAATGTCAGCTGCTCTTGTTACTCTTTTTCCTCATTAAGTTTATCATCACTTCTTTTCTTATTGTTTTTGTTTTTTGTTTTGAGACAGAGTTTTGCTCTTTTGACCAGGCTAGAGTGAAGTGGCGGGATCTCGGCTCACTGCAACCTCTGTCTCCTGGGTTCAAGTGATTACTCGAGTAGCTCAGCCTCTCGAGTAGCTGGGATTACAGGCATGCACCACCACGCCCGGCTAATTGTCATATTTTTAATAGAGATGGGGTTTCATCATGTTGGTCAGGCTGGTCTGGAACTCCGAACCTCAATTGATCCACCCACCTTGGCCTCCCAAAATGCTAGGATTACAGGCATGAGCCACTGCGCCTGGCCTGTTTTTTTTTTTTTTCTTTTTTTTTTTCAGAGATGGGGTCTCACTCTGTCACCCAGGGTGGAATGCAGTGGCATGATCACAGCTGCAGTGCAGCCTCAAACTTCTGAGCTTGAGTGATCCTCCCACCTCAGCCTCCCAAGTCGCTGGACTATAGGAGTATGTCACCACGCCTGGCTAATTTTTAATTTTTTGTAGAGACAGGGTCTTACTATGTTGCTCTACTGTCTGTCGCCAGGCTGGGGTGCAGCAGCGCAATCTCGGCTCACTGCAACCCTCCCGGGTTCAAGTGATTCTTCTGCCTCAGCCTCCCAAGTAGCTGGGACTACAGGCGTGTGCCACCATGCCCAGCTAATTTTTGTATTTTTAGTAGACATGGGGTTTCACCATGTTGGCCAGGATGGTCTCGATCTCTTGACCTCGTGATCCTCCCGCCTCAGCCTTCCAAAGTGCTGGGATTACAGGTGTGAGTCACCGCGCCCGGCTTGAGCCTTCACTTTTCATCTCCAACCACTCTGGGTGGGAGTGGAGCCCTGGCAAACCAAGCAGGTCGAAGCCTGGGACTGGGAGGAGACAGACCAGCTGCAGAAGGTGACTCTCTGGGCACCTTCAGCCAGGGTGATGCCTCTACCCAGGAAGGTGCCAAGGGTGGCTTTAAGGCACTGCCACTAAGGGGCAGAAGCAGCTGGTCAGAGGTGCAGTCCAGCACCCTAAGGGAGCCCCCTGCATTGCTCTGGGCCACAGAACTGAAAGGCCAGGCCTGTAGTTTAAGGGTAACTTCCAGCTGGGCGCGGTGGCTCACGCCTGTAATCCCAGCACTTTGGGAGGCCGAGGTGGGTGGATCACCTGAGGTCAGGAGTTTGAGACCAGCCTGACCAACACGGAGAAACCCCATCTCTACTAAAAATACAAAATTAGCCGGGCATGGTGGCACATGCCTATAATCCCAGCTACTAGGGAGGCTAAGGAAGGAGAATCGCTTGAACCTGGGAGGCGGAGGTTGCAGTGAGCCGAGATCGTGCCATTGCACTCCAGCCTGGGCAACAAGAGTGAAACTCCGTCTCAAAAAAAAAAAGGTAACTTCCTCTCAGGATCCCACATAGATTTCCCAAGCAGAGGAGCTGTATGGAATGAATTCAGCATTCTGGAGTGCTGCACTTACTGCCTGCCTCCTTCCAAAACTCAGAGTCAGGGTACAAAGATCAGCTGGGCGTGCTGGCAGGTGCCAGTAATCCTAGCTACTCAGGAGGCTGAGGCAGGAGAATTGCTTGAACCTGGGAGGCGGAGACTGCAGTGAGCCGAGATCACAACACTGCACTCCAGCCTGGGTGACAAGAGCGAAACTCTGTCTCAGAAAAAAAAAAAAAAAAAGCGGATGAAGGATTCTGGCATACAATCCAAGTGACTAAAAATCCCCTTCAGGCGTTGTTTCACTGCAATCTTTCACAACCATGCCCTCATTCTCAGTCAAGGATGTTATTATACACTCATTCCACCTTTGGGCAAAGTGAGGCACAAAGAGGGAAGATGGCTTGTGCAGAAAACACATGTATGCGTGCCTTATGTTAGACAAACTTTACATAATTAACTTCCTCACAATCACAGCTGTCAAGGTTTAGTCCACGGACCAGCAGCATTAGCATCACCTGAGAACCTGCTAGAAACGGAAATCCACTCAGAAACCTCTATCGGATCAGAAACTCCGGGGTGGGGCCCAGCGATCCAGGTTTTTAGCCCTCTAGGGGATTCTGATGTATGCCAAAGTTCCAGAACCAGTGTCTACAACAACCCTACGAAGCTACTATACTTTCCCTTATTTTACAAATAGGGTGAGGCACCGCGAAGACCATTGGTCTGGGACCACACAGCTGTAGGTGTGATGCCAGTATACAAATCCAGGCAGTTTGGCTCCCTCTTGGAGACTACCAACGAGTTGACATCAGCATCTAAAGTAGGGGCCAGCACGGTGGCTCACGCCTGTAATCCCGGCACTTTGGGAGGCCGAGATGGGAGGACCACTTGCGGTCAGGAGTTCAAGCAGTCTGGTCAACATGGTGAAAACTTGTCTCTACTAAAAATGCAAAAATTAGGGAGTATGGTGGCGCACACCTGTAATCCCAGTTACTCAGGAGGCTGAGGCGGAGAATTGCTTGAACCTGGGAGGCAGGGATTGCAATGAACCGACATCCGCCACTGAACTCCAGCCTGGACGACAGAGCGAGACTCCATCTCAAAAGCAATAATAATAAATTAAAGGAAAAAAATATCCAAAGTAGGGTTAGTACAGGAAATTTGGGCCATTCACGAGTAACTCCATATTGAGTGTGTGCCAGGCACAGTCCTAGGCAGTGGGGTCCAGGGGACCTCGCTCTCATTGAAGCGAGGCTGGGGAGGGGCTGGAGCTGGGAGTCACGGAGAGATCAGGGACCAGCGCGTCATGCATGGGAAGAGGGAAGAAAAGGAGCTGGGAGGTCCCTTTAAAAGGCTGGGCCTGGTGGACGGAACTTCGGTGCGACGCTAAAGTGTGCGCCCGGGAGGATGAGTACGCTACACCCGGAAGTGTCTTCAGGGAGAGGAAGCCGGCGGCCTCACTGCTATGGGCCGCAACAAGAAGAAGAAGCGAGATGGTGACGACCGGCGGCCGAGGCTCGTTCTTAGCTTCGACGAGGAGAAGAGGCGGTGAGTGGCAAAGCCGGACCGGACTCCCCTCGAGCTGTTCTTCGCGGCCAAGGCCAGGTCTGGGGCCGAGCACGCTCCCGCCGGGGGCTCTTCCGGTCCCGCCCCCTGGCGTGGCTAGAGAACCCCTCTCGGCCTTCCAGCCCGCGTTCCCGCTTCTCCCTTCTCGGCCGCCACCTTCTCCCTTCTTGACCTCCCCACCTCGCCTAGTGTCTGTGCGCCGCCAGATAGCCGGAAGCTCGGGTCTCAGAGCAGTGGCTTCGACCACCCTAGCCCAGCCCAGTCCATCGGTCCGGCACACAGCAGGCGCCCAGCCGTGGTTGATAAATGATGAGCCAATGAAATGAGAGTGGCTTAAGTTCATTCATTCGCTCCCTAGACATTTATTGGGCTCCTTTGGTGTGCCAGGTCCCGTATCAGGAAGCAGAACCTCTGAGCCTCAGCGTCTGGCCAGATAAATAAATGGCACATGGTAGCGGGTCAGCGAAAAGCCCAGTGCTGGACCGTGGGACAAAATGGGAACAGAGCAGCTAGCACTGTGGAGATGAGAAGGGGCTGAGATTAGACCGAGGGAAGGAGGTAGGGAAATGCTGGGCATCATCAGGAAACTCCTAGCGTGCATCAACAGGCCCTACAGGCGAGTTTAGGGTCAGGTGTCCTGGGGACATGGGTGTTGGTCCAGTGCAGGGTTTCCGAAGGTCTGGATGGTGGTGGCCCTGAAAACCCTGTTGAGAGAGTAATGAGGTTTGTAGGTGTGGAAGGGGTTACCTCATGTACTGTGTGTGGCCCCCCCCCCCACCCGCCCCACAGCCTGGCCCTGTTGCCTGAACCTGAGATCCCTGGAGAGTATTGAGTGGAAAGAGGCAGTATCTCCCTTATTTTCCTAAATGTATCCTTTCTCTAACCTTGGGCAAGTAACCTAGACTCTGTGACTCAACGTTCCCATCTGTAAAATGGAGATTGATACCCACCGCACAGGTTATTGTGAGGGTTTTTTGTTTGTTTTTGAGATGGAGTCTGTGTCGTCCAGGCTGGAGTGCAGTGGCATGATCTCGGCTCACTGCAACCTCCGCCTCCCAGGTTCAAGCAATTCTCCCCGCTCAGCCTCCCAAGTAGCTGGGACTGCAGGCATGCGCCACCAAGCCCAGCTAATTTTTGTGTTTTTAGTAGACACGGAGTTTCACCATGTTTGCCAGGCTGGTCTTGAACTCCTGGCGTCATGTGATCTTCCCACCTCGACCTTCCAAAGTACTGGGATTACAGGCGTGAGCCACCATGCCTGGCCATTGTTGTGAAGGTTAAATGAGCTAATACTTACACTTTTTTGGAATGGTGCCTAGCACATAGTGAGCGCGGCATTAGCCATTTTTCTCCTAGAGCGAGCCCTTCTCTCCTTGTATAATGACTCTCCTGTCTCTGCCGGCTTCCTTCCTGTAGGGAGTACCTGACAGGCTTCCACAAGCGGAAGGTCGAGCGAAAGAAGGCAGCCATTGAGGAGATTAAGCAGCGGCTGAAAGAGGAGCAGAGGAAGCTTCGGGAGGAGGTACGCAGGGGGAAGGTGGGAGGGAGGTCTTTGATTCTTAGGGCACTTGCAGCCTTGGATTTCCCTAATAGAGGCAGCTGCTGGCATGGGGCGATGTGTGTGTGGGCAGGACTGGGGAATAGTTTATACAGGTGGAGACTCTGTGGGCCCGGGTCTGGGAGTGATGGAAGATGGAGTCTCCTCCTGATCTTGCAGTATGGATCATGGTCTCCCTCACCCTGGGGGTGATTAATACCCCAGCCTGAGGTTGGACTGAGAGGCCATACTCACTGTGTTCCCTGCCTGTGTGGTTTCAGCGCCACCAGGAATACTTGAAGATGCTGGCAGAGAGAGAAGAGGCTCTGGGTAAGTGGCATGCTTGGCCTGACCTGGAGAACAGCTGATGGGCCTGGTTTATACCCTTGGTGGGTGGAAGGGATAGAAGCTGACCTCCTTGGCCCTAGGGATCTTGGGGGGTACCCTGGGGCCAGGGGTGGTCCTAAGCACCTCTAAGTGCAAGTGGAACAGAGACCAGGAGAAGGAGTCCCAAACCCCATGGTTAACCAAGCCTGAGAAGAGAGCCCAGTTTTTAAGGATGGAAAGGACTAGGGGTGGAGGGGAGGGACAGCAGTAGCTGTCACAGAGGGTTTGTCTGACATGGGGACCAGCTAGAGCATGAAGGAAACGGGATCATTCACAACATTCATCCACAGACCAGGCTCTACAGCCAGTGACCTTGTGGATGCGCTCCACGTCCACAGAGTAGAGGGGGCACTGCACTCCAGGGCGGGAGGGAGGCTGGAGCCTGGTCACTCGTTCCCGTGACTGAGACCAGGTCTGTGTCCACCCCCACAGAGGAGGCAGATGAGCTGGACCGGTTGGTGACAGCAAAGACGGAGTCGGTGCAGTATGACCACCCCAACCACACAGTCACCGTGACCACCATCAGTGACCTGGACCTCTCGGGGGCCCGGCTGCTCGGGCTGACCCCACCTGAGGTGGGTCCCAGTCTCAGCCCTGGGAGGAAGGGGCGTGGGGGCAGACCAGCTTGTCAGGGTTGCTCAGTGCTGGCCCATGTCATGGGTATCCCACTGCCAGCCCTGGGAAGAAGGGGCGTGGGGGCAGACTGGCTTGTCGGGGTTGCTCAGTGCTGGCCCATGTTGTGGGTACCCCACTGCTGGGGCTCCTTCCCTTTGGACCCTTCATTCCCTGCTTCCGGGGTGCTGCAAAGACCAGCCCCACTGCTGAGCGGCTGAGGAGCTTGGGCAGGCTCCTTCACCTTGCCTGCTTCCCTTTCTCCATCAGTGAACTGGGGGTTGCTGATGGTGGCACCTGCCTTGTGGGATTGGTATGAGGGTGAAAGTGGTTAATCCATGTGAGTCACCTGGCACAGTGCCCAGCCCTGTCATAAGTGCTTCACAAAAGGTAGCCGTTTGTTGTGATCGTTCCCTTTGTGCGATTCGCAGCCCTGGCACGTCTGTGTGCACTAAGTGGGTTTTCAACCTGTGGGTTGTGAATCATGAGTAGGTTGCAATCAGCATAAAAAAAAAATATAATTGAAAATATCCGAAAGTGTCATGTTAAATATTGTTTCATGAGACAGCTGTTTCCACTGGAGTTGTATCTGGGTGTGCCTAAGGATTTATGGACATATATGCACACAATTACGATATAAAACACATTTCCTTGTGTGGGTTACTGTGTTCTTAAGTCCTGGAGCCACTCCCCTATCACATCCATACTGATCTCAGGGCCAGGCATGGTGGCTCACGCCTGTAATCCCGGCATTTTGGGAGGCCAAGGCGGGCGTTATCACCTGGGGTCAGGAGTTTGAGACCAGCCTGGCCAACATGGTGAAACCCCGTCTCTATTAAAAGTAAAAAAATTAGCCAGGGGGCCAGGCGCAGTGGCTCATGCCTGTAATCCCAGCACTTTGGGAGGCCGAGGCGGGCGAATCACCTGAGGTTGGGAGTTCGAGACCAGACTGACCAACGTGGAGAAACCCTGTCTCTACTAAAAATACAAAATTAGCTGGGTGTGGTGGGACATGCCTGTAATCCCAGCTACTCGGGAGGCTGAAGCAGGAGAATAGCTTGAACCTGGGAGGTGGAGGTTGTGGTGAGCCGAGATCGTGCCATTGCACTCCAGCCTGGGCAAAAAGAGCAAAACTCCGTCTCAAAAAAAACTTAGCCAGGCATGGTGGCGTGCACCTGTAATCCCAGCTACTCGGGAGGCTGAGGCAGGAGAATTGCTTGAACTCAGGAGGCGCAGGTTGCAGTGAGCCACGATTGTGCCACTGCACTCCAGCCTGGGTGACAGAGCGAGACTCCATCTCAAAAAACAAAACAAAACAAAACCATACTGATCTCACACCGGTCTTTCATTTTATGCTCACTATTCTGCAAGTTCTGATACAAAGACAAGTCTTGTCCCCGTTTTGCTAGGATTTTCATTCCTGAATGTTTAAGTATGTCCTGGAAGCTTCTAGGGGCAGGAAAGGGTTTGGAAACAGACCTTCCCCTGTGTAATCCTTGCTTTAGGGCAGATAGACTTCTTCCATCAGAAGCCTTCTCTAGTCCCAACCCAGGCCTGTGATGCAGCAGGGCGCGCCACCACTTGCCAGAGCCATGGTGGCTCGGGGTGCCCAGCCCAGGTCCCCCCAGCTACTGCTCCATGTAAGTCATTGTCTTGTGCCTCTTTAGGGAGGGGCTGGAGACAGGTCTGAGGAGGAGGCGTCATCCACGGAGAAACCAACCAAAGCCTTGCCCAGGAAGTCCAGAGACCCCCTGCTCTCTCAGCGGTGAGTCTTGGCCTGCTGCCTCCCCGGTCCCACCCCTCCTGGCTGGCAGTAGTGACCTGGCCCTTAGGGTGGTGTGGAGCAGGTGTAGGGCCCGGAGCAGCCCTCTGCCTGTCCAGTGATCCTCTGCCTCTCCTCATTGCCCCGTCCTGTCCCACCCACCCCTGATAGTGTCTGACCTCCAGTGCTTTTCGTGCCTGGGTGAAGGGCCTGTGTCTCTGAGCTGAGTTGCTGGCAGGCACTCTGGAGGTAGAGCAGGCCAACTCTGGCATGAACTTGGCGGTCCTGGCATTCGCAACCTGTCCTGACATCCCCTCCGTGAGCCAGGTGGTGAGTCACCCCACAATGCAATCTTAAACTGAGGCTTTCTGCCCTCCCCTAGGATCTCCTCCCTCACAGCATCACTACATGCACACAGCCGCAAAAAGGTCAAGAGGAAACATCCCCGACGGGCCCAGGACTCCAAAAAGCCCCCAAGGGCCCCTCGTACCAGCAAGGCCCAGCGCCGCCGTCTCACAGGCAAAGCACGGCACAGCGGGGAGTGAGACCGAGAACGAAGCGGTGCCCCAGTCTAGGCTGCGGGGACCTGTCCTTGCTCAGCTTGGCTGTCCCTGTAGCCCAGCCTGCACCTAGGTAATGACTGCACAGCTCAAGGTTGGGAAGCCAGGACCTCTCTGGCCTGGGGCCAGCTGCCTTTGCCTGGGGTCAGCTGCCTTTGCCTGGGGTTTGAATTCCCGAAGGAGCAGGCAGCTGAGAGCAGGCCTCCCCCAGGAAGAGCCTTCAGAGCCACGTGGGGGCATCTTCCCAAATGTGCACCCCACCTGGCACTCATCAGATTTGTGCGCTTGTGATTTGTTTGTCCTTGATACCACGCACAAGGGCAGGTTTTTGGGGTGGTGGAAATGGCCAGGGCCCATGGGTCTGTCTCCAGCAGTTAGCCCTGTGGCTGCAATAAAGTACAGTTCTCCCTGTGTTAAGATCCTAACCAGGGTTAAGGATCAGTGTGTCCGTTGCTAGAATCCAGAGCCCACCTGCTGCTCTGAAAAGCAGGCTCCTGAGGCCAGTGGGGGAGCAGTGCCCCCCATGCCCTTCACCGAGGAGCCTCTGTGCCTGTCCCTTGTCCTCGGCCCCAGGAGTCTCCTCAACTGACACTGAAGTGGTGGAAGCAGTTGAGTGCCAGGTCATCCCCCATCACCACACTGGGGCAGCGTCCCCAGGCTTCCAGCAGCTCCCAGGTGGGTCCCAACGTGGAAGGATTAATTAATTCTTTCTAAAGCAGTTGCAGCCGGGCTTGGTGGCTCACGCCTGTAATCCCAGCACTTTGGGAGGCCCAGGCGGGCAGATCACTTAAGGTCGGGAGCTCGAGACCAGCCTGGCCAACATGGTGAAACCCTGTCTCTACTAAAAATGCAAAAATTAGCCAGGTGTGGTGGCACACGCGTGTAATCCCAGCTACTTGGGAGGCTGAGGTGGAAGAATCACTTGAACCCTGGAGGCGGAGGCTGCAGTGAGCCGAGATCACGCCATTGCACTCCAGCCTGGGCAACGTTGTGACCTTGTCTCAAAAAAAAACTAAAAAATAAAGCAGTTGCATCTTGACTCGTACAAAAGTAGCCCCCACCAGAGTAGACCCTGCGGGTGCCAGCTAGAACTCCACAAGGGGCCATGTCTTCACACTCCTTCCAGATGGATGAGTTGATGGAAACCCTGTCCCTTCCTTGTCCCAGCTTGTCAGTCCTGGGCAGGAGAGAATTTCAGGTTGTGCCTTGGTTAGAGGAGCTGTGTTGGGTCCTAAACACTAGGACCACAAAGGGGAGTGAACTGTGTTCCCAGGGCTTGCTGACGCCCGTGGACTATGGAGTCAGGATGACAGGACAGTGCGGTGAGGGGCATCTGCGACAGGACTGCGGGCTCTACCCGCCCTGATGTGGGAGCTCCTGGAGTGGGGGTGAGCAGTGAGCCAGGGTCTGCAGGGCTGTCCTCTCTCCACAGCCAACAGCCAGGCCTTACAGTGGGGCAGGCTTAGTGACTGTGCCTCAGTTATGCTGTACCTGGGAGTGGGCAGGCCCTCTCCCATGTCACCATCAAAACCCACTGATGAAGGCTGGTGGGAGTCTGAGGGCTGCACCCGGGTATGGTGAGTTCCCCTCAGGGATTGTGCTGAGCGCCTTGGCCTGGCTTCTTGGCTCCGCCCACCTGCTCTCCCTGCCACCAAGTTGTCTTCCCCGGGTGGCATGTGCCACTTGGCTGCCTCGTGCCTGGGCACAGTGGTGCCTATTATGGGCCCTCCAGGTGGCTCTGGTGCTCAGCCTGCTGTGAGCAGGAACAGCTGAGTCCCAGGGGTTCTTGCACACAGCAGGGCTCGGGTTTGAATCCAGGCTCTGCTGCTTGGTCGCTGCATGAGCTTCTGCTGTGCTGACCTCTCTGGTTTGTCTCGTCATGTGTAAGGTGACACCAGATACCTACCTCTTAGGGCTGCCCCGAGACTAAAATAAGACCATGTGCATGAACCACTTACCAAAGTGCCTGTTGCTCTCCAGGTGTGCCTACCGCATGTTGCCGCTGCTGTTTCTGCTGGGACGTCTGACTCCAGTTCCTTCTCCCCTCTCCAGTGACAAGGTCATTTACAACTTACATTTACAATTTATAGTGTTTACCAGTATTAAATTCTCAGCCACTCCTTTCCATGTGTGCCTTCATTTCTTCCAGCAGACCAGGGAAGTTGAGTCACAGTGATTTGACCAATTCTAGGATCAGGGTGGTGGATTCAGAGCCCTCTGGAGAACTTGTCTTTTCTCCAGGAGCCCCTCACCATTGCTGTGGAGGCACCTGGGCTCCTTCCTCCTGTCGCTTTCCAGAGTTGGGCCTCTGAGAGATGTATGAGGAAGAGTTAAGTTTAGCTGCATATACTCTAAAACAAAATTGAAAAACAACTGGCTTGTGTAAAAGAGTTCCCATCCCAAAGATGGGAGGTTCCCAGCCTGGAGCTGGGAAGGCTGGAGGCTGGGATGCCGGGCTTCTAACTCTATGCTGTGTTCTATGTTGTGTGCCATTTTCAACACATGGCCCCTGCCTCACAGCACAAGGTGGCTGCTTGAGCTGCAGCCATTATGTCTGCATTTCAGCCAGCAGGACAGAAAAGGGGATGAAGAACATGCCCCTCCTTTTGAAAACATTTAGGGCCAGGTATGGTGGCTCACGCCTGTAATCCCAGCGCTTTGGGAGGCCAAGGCGGGTGGATCACCTGAGGTCGGGAGTTCGAGACCAGCCTGACCAACATGGAGAAACCCCTGTCTCTACTAAAAATACAAAATTAGCTGGGTGTGGTGGCGCATGCCTGTAATCCCAGCTACTCGAGAGGCTGAGCCAGGAGAATTGCTTGAACCTGGGAGGTGGAGGTTGCGGTGAGCCGAGATCATGCCATTGCCCTCCAGCCTTGGCAACAAGTGTGAAACTCCGTCTCAAAAAAAAAAAAAAAGAAAAATTGGCACTTGGCATGTCCTGTTGGCCAGGCAGGAGGCAAAGCATGAGGCAGAGGCAAGGGAGCTCTTAGCTACAAGACAGGCTAGGAACTCTTCTATTTATTTATTTTTTGAGATGTAGTATTGCTCATCATCCAGGCTGGAGTGCAATGGTACAATCTCGGCTCACTGCAACCTCTGCTCCCCGGATTCAAGCAACTCTCCTGCCTCAGCCTCCCCAGTAGCTGGGACTATAGGCACCTGCCACCACGCCTGACTAATTTTTGTGTTTTTAGTAGAGATGGGATTTTGCCACGTTGGTCAGGCTGGTCTCGAACTCTTGACCTCAGGTGATCCACCCACCGTGGCCTCCCAAAGTGCTGGGATTACAGGCATGAGCCACCCCGCCCGGCCAGGAACTCTTCTATTCTGGGAAACCAAGTGCTCAGATGAGAATTGGGGATTGTGTTAGAAAGGAGAGAATGGGGCCTGGCACAGTGGTTCGTGCCTGTAATCCCAGCACTTTGGGAGGCTGAGGTGGGCCAATCACCTGAGATCAGGTGTTTGAGACCAGCCTGGCCAACGTGGCGAAACCCGATCTCTACTAAAAATATAAAAATTAGCCAGGTGTGATGGCAGGTGCCTGTAATCCCAGCTACTTGGGAGGCTGAGATGAGAATCACTTGAACCCGAGGGCCAGAGGTTGCAGTGGGCCAAGATCACACCACTGCACTCCGGCCTGGGTGACAACAGCAAGACTCCATCTCAAAAATGAGAGAATGAGGCCAGGCGCAGTGGCTCACACCTGTAATCCCAGCATTTTGGGAGGCCAAGGCGGGCAGATCACGAGGTCAGGAGATCAAGACCGTCCTGGCTAACACGGTGAAACCCCGTCTCTACTAAAAATACAAAAAATTAGTTGGGCGTGGTGGCGGGCACCTGTAGTCCCAGCTACTTGGGAGGCTGAGGCAGGAGAATGGCATGAACCCGGGAGGCGGAGCTTGCAGTGAGCAGAGATCGCGCCACTGCACTCCAGCCTGGGCAACTGAGCGAGAATCTGTCTCAAAAAAAAAAAAAAAAAAAAAATGAGAGAATGGGTGTTGGGGTATAATCAGCAGATTATTTCACAGAAGCCAAATATATAAAGGGCTGTCATGAGGGGATCCATCTGTGTGGAGCTAAAGTCACAGCAGACATTTATCCATCCTCGGTTTTCACACCAAGGTCAGGCCCTGTGCTAGTACATGATGAGCTGTGGCCATAGTTACCTGAGGCTGGGCTCAGCCCATTAAAATAAAACTTCTTTTGGTACGATCTGTTTTGGGGTGGCCTGAGCTCTCCCCAGGGGGGTGAGGTGAGGAACTGTGGGGGCAGGTGTTCTGGGGTCATATAAGCCTCAGCGTCCATCCTTTCCAAGGTCCCAGTGGTGCTGACGACCTTGACGCCCCCAGGTTTGAGCCATTGACCTTCCTTTGGCTTGCAGGTGGCTCTGGTGAGGGGCTTCAGTTCCTCCTGAGCTTGGAGAGCTCACTGCCTGCTCCCTTGTGAGGACTGCTAGAAATGCCCGCCTTGTTCTGAGCTAGCATTGGCCTCCCCCAGCCACCTTCAGAGGTTTGCAGGCTGTTCTCAGCCTTTCTCGATCTCCTCACCTTTGAGCCACCTCCAAGGAGAAGCCTTCTCTGCCTTCCTCCTTTCTCCACCTGACCTCCCATGATAGTAGGTGTTTCCTTCTTTTAAACACTGAACACAGTGAATCCTGGTTTGTCCCTCGAACCAGACCAGAGCTTTCTGAGTGAGAAATTGTATCTTAGTCATTTCTGTTTCTGCTCTGGGCACAAGCTTGTGTCAATGTAGGTTCTCAGCCAATCCTGTCTGAATCCAACCCCCAGGTGATCCCCAACAACTCTCAAAATAATCTAAGATTTCTGTGACCCTAGTGCCAAGCTCACCTGCCTACAAGTGTCTGAATCTAGTTTACCTTCCCTGTCTCATCACTGCACCCATCTCTCCTGGACTCCTGCTGCAACCTTCCTCCCTGTCCAGTGAATTTCGCCCTCCTCCTCCCATCCCAGTCGCCACAATTGGCAAATATCAACCAAAAGGAAAAAAGATGGGAAACAAGTTTTTTTTTTTTTTTTTTTTTTTTTTTTTAAGGCGGAGTCTCACTCTGTTGCCCAGGCTGGAGTGCAGTGGTGTGATTTCGGCTCACTGCAACCTCCGCCTCCCGGGTTCAAGCGATGCTCCTGCCTCAGCCTTCTGAGTAGCTGAGACTACAGGCGCACACCACCACGCCAGGCTATTTTTTTTTTCTTTTTTATACAAGAGTTTTGCTCTGTCGCCCAGGCTGGAGTGCAATGGCGCTATCTCAGCTCACTGCAACCTCCGCCTCCTCGGTAAGAAAACTGTCATGACAGAGAGGTTAAGACTCTAGTCCAAGGTCTGTGCTAAAGCCAGCCCAGCGGACTGTCGGCAGAATGAACCAACGGGAAAGAGGTCAGAAGGAGCCAGATCCGCCAGTGCCAGCCCTCTCCAGGGCTCCCTGGGGACCCCCAGCGGGCAAGGGCTGCAGGCGGCCCAGGCTAAACGTGCAGTGAGTCCCGCTCTCAGAGGTATCTGCGCCCCGCCTGCCTCCGCCCCGCCCCTTGTTCTGGTTTGTCCAGTCCCACAGAGTCCCACAGTCTTCATGTAAATGAGGCACCCAGAGAGAGCCTATGCGAGCGTGGCAGGGGCGTGGCCTTCCACCTCCCGAGCATCGCTCTGATTCATTGTTAAAATAAAGAGGCCATGACCCTGGCACTCCCACCCCGGCAGCCCCTGTGCGTGGAAACCCAGCCAAGGTTAGCACTGGGCCTCAGAAAAGAGGAGCTGGTAGGGGGAGGCCTACAGGAGGGGTAGGGGTCGAGGGATCCGGGGAGGAACTGGCTGAATGCCTGGATGGAGAGGGTCCCGGGTCCATTCTCTGGGTGGGGCATGTGTAGCTGCTTAAGGTTTTGATTATTATATCCACATCTCAAGTGCATTTTAGAGAAGGATTCTGCCTATTGGTTGTGGGTAGGGGAGGAAACGGGAGCAGCGAGGGGCACGTGGAGTAGAGCCCCCTACCCACCCCCAGGAAAATGAGCGGCGTTCTCCTGCTAGGCGACGCTCCTTTATGTGGCCAGACCAGGAGAGAAACGCCCAGGACGGGCGGGGCCGATGCGCCCCTCTTCCACCACCAGGAGTCGGGAGGACGACCGCCCGGGGAGGATCAGAGACCCTGGGGCCACGGAAGGACCAGTGGGTAGCCCTCTCCCCACCGTGCCTTGCTGTCGCCCCCACCGCATTCCCTTCTCCAGGTCTGATGATGGAGGAGCCTTGGCCCTGGCTGTCCCAGGGGAGGAGGTGAAATTCCTCAGCTCTCCACCAAGATTGGCCACAAAAGCCTGATCCCCTGGAACACAGCAGGTGAGGATGGATGTGGGCAGGTGACCTGGGGGCACCAAAAGCTGCAGGTGTTTTGGGATGTTGGGTTCCTCCCACCCCCCACCCTCCCCCTGGGGCTCTGTGTGAGTGGGGAGGCCATCTTTAAGTGATTCTCCTGACCCAGCTCCACTCCAGGGCATGGATGTTGGTGGCCTTAGGGGCACCCAGAAAGGAGAACCCTTGCACAAGTAAGATACCAGGGCGGCCGGGCGCGGTGGCTCAAGCCTGTAATCCCAGCACTTTGGGAGGTCGAGGTGGGTGGATCACAAGGTCAGGAGTTCGAGACCAGCCTGGCCCATATGGTGAAACCTCGTCTCTACCAAAAATACAAAAAAATTATCCGGGCATGGTGGCACATGCCTGTAATCCCAGCTATTTGGGAGGCTGCGGCAGGAGAATTGCTTGAATCCGGGAGGCAGAGGTTGCAGTGAGCCGAGATCGCGCCACTGCACTCCAGCCTGGGTGATAGACCGAGATTCTGTCTCAAAAAAAAAAAAAAAAAAAGAAAGAAAGACACCAGGGTTTCAGAAGGGTATGATGCTTCACACCTGTAATCCCAGCACTTTGAGGGAAGGAGGAGGATTACTTGAGGTCAGGAGTTCAGGAGTTCAAAACCAGCCTGGGTAACACTGCAAGAGCCTTTTTTTTTTTTTTTTTTTTTTTTGAGACACACTGTTGCCCAGGCTGGAGTGCAGCGGGGCGATCTTAGCTCCACTGCAACCTCCACCTCCTGGGTTCAAGCAATTCTCTTGCCCCAGCCTCTTGAGTAGCTGGGATTACAGGCATGCGCACCACGCCCAGCTAATTTTTATAGTTTTAGTAGAGACAGGGTTTCATCATGTTGGGCAGGCTGGTCTTGAATTCCTGGCCTCAAGTGATCTGCCTGCCTCAGCCTCCCAAAGTGCTGGGATTATAGGCGTGAGCCACCGCACCTGGCCAAGAGCCCATTTTTACAAAATAAAAAAGAAAAAAATTAGCTGGGCGTGGTGGCGTACACCTGTAGTCCCAGTTACTCAGTCCCAGAGACTGAGGCAGGAGAATCATTTGAGCCCGGGAGTTTGAGGTTGCAAGGAGCTATGATCGAGCCACTGCACTCCAGCCTGGGTGACAGAGCAAGACCCTGCCCCCACCTCCCCAAAAAAGACATTAGGGGCCGGATGCAGTGGCTCACACCTGTAATCCCAGCATTTTGGGAGGCCGAAGGGGGCGGATCACCTGAGGTCAGGAGTTCACCTGGCCAACATGGCGAAACCCCGTTGCTACTAAAAATACAAAAATTAGCCAGGCATGACGGTGCATGCCTGTGATCCCAGATACTACTGGGGAGGCTGAGGTAGAATTGCTTGAACCCAGGAGGCGGAGGTTGCAGTGAGCCGAGTGAGCCAAGATCACATCACGGCACTCCAGCCTAGGTGACAGAGAGAGACTTCGTCTCAAAAAAACAAAACAAAACAAAACGAAAACACATTAGGATTTCTTTTTGGCTAAGTTCTGCCACAAACTTGCTGTGTGACTTTAGGCTGTTCACGTTTGTCAAAGACGTCGTCCTCAACTCTGAAAATACCTGGCCAGCTTTTTGCCTCCCTCGCTGTGCTTCCCAAGGGACCTGTGCGAGTTGGCAGTATGATCCAGTGCTCCTCACTTCCACCTCCGAGAGAGCAGGGACACACACAGCCCTGGATTTGAATCAGCCACTGCGACCTTCAGTGACCGAAGGAACCTCTCTGAGCCTTAGTTGCCTGATCTAAAATTGGCATTAATTTGATCTACAATGCAGCTATAAGACAAGGACACTCAAACTTTGGGGCGCACTAGAATCACCTGGGGAATCACTTTTTTTTTTTAAGACAGAGTCTCACTCTTATCACCCAGGCTGGAGTACAGTGGTGCAATCTTGGCTCACTGCAACCTCCGCCTCCTGGGTTCAAGTGATTCTCCTGCCTCAGCCTCCCGAGTAACTGGGACTACAGGTGCATACCACCATGCCTGGCTAATTTTGTATTTTTAGTAGAGACAGGGTTTGGCAATATTGGCCAGGCTGGTCTCGAACTCCTGACCTCAGGTGATCTGCCCGCCTCGGCCTCCCAAAGTGCTGGGATTATAGGCGTGAGCCACTGCGCCTGGCCAGGAATCGCTTCTTTATTTTCATTTTCATTTATTTATTTATTTATTTATTTATTTTGAGATGGAGTCTCGCTCTGTTGCTCAGTCTGGAGTGAAGTGGCGTGCTCTCCGCTCACTGCTACCTCTGCCTCCCAGGTTCAAGCGATTCTCGTGCCTCAGCCTCCCAAGTAGCTGGGACTACAGGTGCGTGCTACCACGCCCAGCTAATTTTTGTATTTAGTAGAGGCGGGGTTTCACCATGTTGGCCAGGCTGGTCTTGAACTCCTGGCCTCAAGTGATCTGCCTGCCTCAGCCTCCCAAAGTGCTGGGATTACAGGCGTGAGCCACCGCCCTCGGCTGGAATCACTTCTTTAACATGCACAGCCCCAGACCTCAGTCTCTTGGAGATTCTAACTGTGTGAATTGGGAGAGAGAAAGGGGAATCTAGATTTTTTTTTTTTTTTTTTGAGATGTGGTCTTGCTATGTTGCCTAGGCTGGAGTGCTGTAACTATTCACAGGTGCAGTTATAGCACACTACCACCTCAAACTCCTGGGCTCAAGAGATCCTCCCACCTCTGCCTCCCGAGTAGCTTGGACTGCAGGTGCACACCATCTTACCCAGCTGAAATCTGCTTTTTTTTTTTCTCAGTGCAGTGGCACAGTCATGGCTCACTGCAGCCTCGACCTCCCAGACTCAGGTGATCCTCCCAACTTCAGCCTCCTGAGTAGCAGGGACCACAGGCCTGCACCACCTTGCCCAGCTAATTTTTGTATTTTTTGTAGAGACGGAGTTTCGCCAGTTGCCCAGGATGGTCTTGAACTCTTGGGCTCAAATGATCCGCCGCCCGCAATGGGCCCAGCTGGAATCTGCATTTTTTTGTTTTTTGTTTTGAGATGAAGTCTCACTCTGTCGCCCAGGCTGGAGTGCAATGGCGCAATCTTGGCTCACTGCAACCTCCGCCTCCTGGGTTCAAGCCATTCTCCTGCCTCAGGCTCCCAAGTAGCTGGGATTACAGGCACGTGCCATCACACTTGGCTGATTTTTGTATTTTTAGTAGAGACAGGGTTTTACCATATTGGCCAGGCTGGTCTCGAACTCCTGACCTCAAGTGATCGGCCCACCTCGGCCTCCCAAAGTGCTGGGATTACAGGCATCAGCCACTGTGCCTGGCCTGGTATCTGCATTTTTATGAACAGCCCAGGAGGGTGTAATGCAGAGTCCTTGGCGTGCACTTTCAGCAACACTGCAGTAAGGACTAGAAATCGCACATCAAATGCTGGCAGAGTGCCTGGTGCTTAGTAGGTGCTTAGTGAGTGTTTGTTGAGTGAATAAATGAACAGGAATGGATGGAGAACAGGAACCCAAAGGAATGGATGAGTAACCTTATTTCCTTGGTCCTTGTCTGGAAACTGGGGCAACTGGGGCTGGGGTTCAGGTGAGTGGCCAGCCAGTCATCTGGTCTTTGCCTCCCCCTCATTTTTGCCAGGCCTCACATAGACGGTCAGCCATTGGATCATAGGAACTGCCCTGGCCTGACTCACCCAATATGGAGGAGGTGCCTGGGGATGCCCTGTGTGAACACTTTGAGGCCAACATACTTACCCAGAACCGCTGTCAAAACTGCTTCCACCCTGAGGAGGCCCATGGAGCAAGATACCAGGTGGGCCAGTTTTCCACGTGGTTGGGGTGGTTTGTGATGGGGGCATGGGTGAAGGACTGGGCCTGTGGTGTCCGCTAACTCGCAGTTGAACCCAGATGCTGGACTTCCTCCTGTCGAGAGCCTCGGTTTTCCCACATTGCAGGGAAGTGGTTGAACCATGTGAATGTTTCACAATCTTCAGTCACTTTCCTCCTGCTTATATGATACGATTGTTACCATAGCCTTATCTAATCTGTTACTTACTTTGTTATTCTTTAAATCAACATCTTTTTCCCCTTCTATTGAAACAAAACTTCACATCATCAACACAAGTAGAAAACTAGAATTACTTCCTGTTAAGAAGAAGAGGTTAAGAAGAAAGGTAGAGGCTGGGCACGGTGGCTCACGCCTGTAATCCCAGCACTTTGGGAGGCCGAGGTGGGTGGATCACCCGAGGTCGGGAGTTTGAAACCAGCCTGGCCAACATGGTGAAAATTAGCTGGGCATGGTGGTGCATGCCTGTAATCCCAGCTACTTGGGAGGCTGAGGCAGGAGAATCACTTGAACCTGGGAGGCGGAGATTGTGGTGAGCCGAGATCGCGCCATTGCACTCCAGCCTGGGCAACAGAATGAAACTGTCTCAAAAAACAAAACAAAACAAAACAAAAAAGAGAAGAAAGGTAGAAAAAGAAAAAACAAAACAGAAATGTCGTTACACCCTAACTTGAGAGTGTTTTCTTTTTCTTTTTCTTTTTTTTGAGACAGAGTCTCACTCTGTCGCCTGGGCTAGAGTGCAATGGCAATGGTGTGATCTCAGCTCACTGCAATCTCTGCCTCCTAGGTTCAAGCGATCCTCCCGCCTCAGCCTCCCAAGTATTGGGATTACAGGTGCCTGCCACCATGCCCAGCTAATTTTTGTATTTTTAGTAGAAACGGGGTTTCGCCATATTGGCCAGGCTGGTCTTAAACTCCTGACCTCAGGTGATCCACCCGCCTCAGCCTCCCAAAGTGTTGGGATTACAGGCGTGAGCCACCGCGCCTGGCCTCGAGAGTGTTTTCTATGGAAGGCTCTGAGCTTGCATCCTGCTGTCTCTTTGTCAAAAAGGGAGATTAGCAGATGTTAGAGAGATGTTAAGAATACACCAGCATCATCTAGAGATTTTCTTTCTCTCTCTCTTTTTTTTTTTTTTTTTTTTTTTTGGAGATAGGGTCTTGCTCTGTAGCACAGGCTGGAGTGCAGTGGTCCAACCTATAGTACATGGCTCACTGTAGCCTCGACCTCCCAGGCTCAAATGATCTTCCCACCTTGGCCTCCTGAGTAGCAGGGACTACAGGCACATGCCACCATGGCCAGCTAATTTTCTTGTAAAGATGGGATCTCACTATGTTGCCAGGGCTGGTCTCAAATTCCTGGGCTCAGGTGATCCTCCCACCTCAACCTCTGTAACTGCAGGGATTACAGGTGTGAGACACTGCACCTGGTCTCAAGATTTTCTTCTTCAAGTTATTGAAGGAGTGAAGAAGAATCCTTTTTTTTCTTTCTTTTTTTTTCATTTGAGACGGAGTCTCTCTCTGTCGCCAGGCTAGAGTTCAGTGGCTCAATCTCAGCTCACTGCAACCTCCGTCTCCTGGGTTCAAGCAATTCTCCTGCCTCAGCCTCCTGAGTACCTGGGATTACAGGTGCCCACCACCATGCCCAGCTAATTTTTGTATCTTTAGTAGAGACAGGGTTTCACCATGTTGGTCAGTCTGGTCTCGAACTCCTGACCTTGTGATCTGTCTGCCTCGGCTTCCCAAAGTGCTGGGATTACAGGTGTGAGCCACCGCGCCTGGCCGAGATTTTCTTCTTCAAGTTATTGAAGGAGTGAAGAAGAGTCCTTTTCTGACTTTGTGATTGATGTAGTCTGCTGCCAAGCCCCCATGCATGTAAACACAGAGCACCTGATACACACGCAATGAGAAACCTGGGACTCACGAACCTCCGAGGGCCCTTCCAACCTTGACCACCATGGCTTCGTCATTCCCATTGGGGTCTGAAGGTCCTCTTTTTTTTTTTTTTTTTTTGAGACAGAGTCTCGTTCTGTTGCCCAGGCTGGAGTACAGTGGTGCGATCTGGGCTCACTGCAAGCTCGGCCTCCCAGGTTTATGCCATTCTCCTGCCTCAGCCTCATGAGTAGCTGGGACAACAGGCACCCGGCACCACGCCCAGCTAATTTTTTGTCTTTTTAGTAGAGACAGGGTTTCACCATGTTAGCCAGGATGGCCTCGATCTTCCTGACCTCGTTATTCGCCCACCTCGACCTCCCAAAGTGCTGGGATTACAGGCATGAGCCACCGCGCCCAGCTTCTACCAGTCTTGATACCTCCAATAATAGCTCTCTTGTGCTCACCTGCAAGTTCAGGTTCAGGGAACAGATGCCTGGGAGTCCATCTTTCATGCAAATGACTTTCTTCCAGTGGTTGGGAAGATGGCAAGAATGGAACAGGAGAGCCGTGGATTCAGGCTCGTCTGAGTTCTAGTCTCAATCCCACCATTTCCCACCCGAGACCGTGGGTCAGCTCACAAATTCATACGTACTGAATAGGTGCTTAAAATGTGCCAGGCATTATGCTAGATGATGGGGAAATCATGATAAATCAGAAAGGCACAGCCAGGCACAGTGACTCACTCCTGTAATCCCAGCACTTTGGGAGGCCAAGGTGGGTGGATCACTTGGAGTTTGAGACCATCCTGGCAACATGGCAAAACCCCATCTCTACAAAAAATTTAAAAAATTAGCTGGGCGTAGTGGGATGCGGCTATAGTCTCAGTTACTCAGGAGGCTGAGGTGGGAGAATCACCTGAGACTGGGAGGCGGGGGCTTCAGTGAGCCGTGATCGCATTACTGTATTTCAGCCTGGGTGACAGAGTTGGACCCTGACTCAGAACAGAACAGAACAGAACAGAACAGAACAGAACAGAACAGAACAGAACAGAACAGTACAGAAAACAGGGAGAAGGAGGGGAAGGGGGAGGGGAAGGGGGAGGGGGAGAGAGAGGAGGAGAGGAGGAGAGAGGGACACATCCCTGGCTTGTCTTCATGGGGCTTATATTCTAGCAAGAGAAATGCACATGATTATTTAATCTTGGTTGTGATAAATGTATAAAGGAACAGTAAGTGGCATGAAGGTAAAGGATAGGGCATTAGGGAAAGTTTCTCCAAAAAAAAAAAAATGACATTTCAGCTGCTTAGTAAAGGCTGTGCAGGCATTAGCATTAGTGAAATTGCAGGAAGAGGAGAGGAAGGAAGGAGAATGTGCAAAGGCCAGCCTGGCACGGCAGCTCACGCCTGTAATCCCAGCACTTTGGGAGGAAGTGCTTGGATTGAGGCACCGAAGCAGGAAGATCACTTGAACTCAGGAGTTTGAGACCAGCCTGGGCAGCACAGTGAGACCCCATTTCTACCAAAAAAAAAAAAAAAAAAATTAGCCAGGCAGGATGGTGCACACCTGTAGTCCCAGCTAGTCAGAAGGCTGATGTGGGAGGATTACTGGATCCCAGGAGTTCAAGGTTGCAGTGAGCCATGAGCATGCCAATGCACTCCAGCCTGGGCAACAGAATGAGACCTTGTCTCAAAAACAAAACAAACAAACAGGTCAGGTGCAGTGGTTCATGCCTGTAATCTCAGCACTTTACGAGGCCGAGACGGGTGGATCACCTGAGGTCAGGAGTTCAAGACCACCCTGGCCAACATGGTGAAACCCCATCTCTATTAAAAATACACAAATTAGCTACATGTGGTGGTGGGTGCCTGTAATCCCAGGTACTTAGGAGGCTGAGGCAGGAGAATCTCTTGAACCCAGGAGGCAGAGGTTGCAGTGAGCCAAGATTGCACCACTGTACTCCAGCCTGGGCAACAGAGCGAGAATCCTCTCAAAACAAAACAAACAAACAAAGAATATGCAAAGGCCCTGAGGCAGAAAGGAGGCTGCACATCGGGCTGGAGAGGACAGGCAAGAGGGGGGCACAGAGGAGCTATAGGACAAGGATGGAGAATGGGGGGAGGCCTGGTCTCACTGGCCTTGTGCGGCTTTGTGGACATGTTGAGGACTTAGGATTCTGAGGTTTTTTTCTGTTTTGTTTTTGTTTTTTTTTGAGATGGAGTCTCGCTCTGTCGCACAGGCTGGAGTGCAGAGGCGTGATCTCGGCTCACTGCAACCTCTGCCTCCCAGGTTCAAGCGATTCTCCTGCCTCAGCCTCCCAGGTAGCTGAGACTACAGGCATGTACTACCAAACCCAGTTAATTTTTGTATTTTTAGTAGAGATGGGGTTTCACCATGCCGCTCAGGCTGGTCTTGAACTCCTGGCCTCAAGCAATCTGCCCTCCTTGGCCTCCCAAAGTGCTGAGATTACAAGTGTGAGCCACCTCGCCCGGCCAAGCCACGGAAGATTTCAAATAAGGGAGTGACGTGCTCTGATTTGCATTTTTCACAGTCACTCTGATTGCTGGGCAGAGAGAATGGAGGGCAGGGTGGTGAGAGTGAATCAGGTGACCCGCCAGGAAAAGGTGCACGTACTCATCGGTGCCAGAGATGATTGGGGCTTTGAGATGGAGGCAAATGGACACATTTCCGAACTAATTGAGCAGGCACGTCTACAGGATTTGGGGGTGAGGGAGGGGAGAAACCCATGGCTGACTCCTGTAATTTCTTCAGGCAGGGTACTTGGGTTGGGAGGTCTGTTTGGAGTTGTCTGGGGCATGGTGTGGGGTGTCGGCAGGATACAGTGGAGATGAGGGGGAAGTTAGTGAATTGGTGGGGCTGGAGCTCAGAGCCAGACCATCACAGGAGATGGAGGCCTGCGAGTCTTCAGGATCTGTCACTGACCAAAGTCTTGCTCACGGATGAGCCTATCATCTGTGGAAGAAAGTGTGGAATGAGATGAGAACAGGCCTGGGTGGAGGCCAGGGAATCAGCAGAGACAGCCAAGAAGGCCAGAGGCTAGGAGGCAAACCCCACAGTGTGCCCCTCCTCCCCAGGAGCCAAGACCAGAGATGGTTTCAAGAGAGGGGGCCAGGCACAATGGCTCCCGCCTGTGATCACAGCACTTTAGGAGGCTGAGGCTAAAGGATGGCTTGAAACCAGGAGTTTAAGACCAGCCTAGTTAACAAAGTGAGATCCCATCTCTACAAAACAAAAAATGAACTGGGTGTAGTGGTGCATGCCTGCAGTCCCAGCTACTTGGGAGGCTGAGGCAGGAGGATTGTTTGAGCCCAGGAGATTGAGGCTGCAGTGCACTGTGATCATGCCACTGCCACAGCAAGACTATCTTAAAAAAAAAAAAAAAAGATCAGAGAGGGGCACGACATCAAATCCTCCACTTTCTTGAGCTTCCAGTTGCTCTGATGATGATCAAGGCTGTGAAACTCTCCTTTGGCAAATGCATGAGGGGTGACTGTTGTGTCTCCGAGCCAGGCCCTGGGACCCAACTCTGGGCAGGTAGCAGCTCCCTGTGTATACCAGATGTGATAGTAAAAAACTGACACTGGGCCGGGCGCGGTGGCTCACGCCTGTAATCCCAGCACTTTGGGAGGCCGAGGCGGGTGGATCACTTGAGGTCAGGAGTTTGAGACCAGCCTGACTAGCATGGTGAAATCCTGACTCTACTAAAAATACAAAAATACAAAAATTAACAGGGTGTGGTGGCGGATGCCTGTAATCCCAGCTACTCGGGAGGCTGAGGCAGGAGAATTTCTTGAATCCGGGAGGCGGAGGTTGCAGTGAGCCGAGATCTGGCCACCGCACTCCAGCCTGGGCGACAAGAGCGAAAAACTCCATCTCAAAAAAAACAAAAAAACCTCCTGGGCCCCAGAAGATGGCAACTGCCTCTTCCAGCCTCTTCCACCTGCCTGCCTGTGCACTCCTCTGCCACTCTGGACCTATTCCATGGTGCCACGTGGTCAGGCATTGAAGGAATGGGTGGGTTTTTTTTCCATCACCCTCAGATGCTGCTGCTGGGGTTGGGGCGGGTCTTCCCTGGCTGACTCTGTCTGCCTCACCCACTCTCTCCCCATCTCTCTGTCACCACAGGTCTCCAGGGACCAAATTTAGCCCATTTTTCCTCCAAGGATTCTGGACCCTTGGCCATATTTGCCTCTAGCTTTAGGTCAACAGATTTCTAACATGGAGTCAAAAAATCTGTATGTTTAAAAAAAAAAAATTGGCTGGGAGTGGTGGCTCACGTCTGTAATCCCAGCACTTTGGGAGGCCGAGGCAGGTGGATCACCTGAGGTCAGGAGTTCGAGACCACCCTGGCCAACATGGTGAAACCCCGTCTCTACTAAAAATACAAAAATTAGCTGGGTATGGTGGCGGACCCCTGTAGTCCCAGCTACTCAGGAGGCTGAGGCAGGACAATTGCTTGAACCCGGGAGGCAGAGGTTGCAGTGAGCTGAGATCGCGCCATTGCACTCCAGCCTGGGTGACAGAGTGAGACTCTGTCTCAAAAAAAAGAAAAAAAAAAAAAAGGCCGGGCGTGGTGGCTCACGGCTGTAATCCCAGCACTTTGGGAGGCCGAGGCGGGCGGATCACGAGATCAGGAGATCGAGACCATCCTGGCTAACACGGTGAAACCCTGTCTCTACTAAAAATACAAAAAATTAGCTGGGCATGGTGGCGGGCGTCCATAGTCCCAGCTACTCGGGAGGCTGAGGCAGGAGAATGGCATGAACCCGGGAGGCGGAGCTTGCAGTGAGCCAAGATCACGCCACTGCACTCTAGCCTGAGCGACAGAGTGAGACTCCGTCTCACAAAAAAAAAAAAAAAAAAAAATTGAGGCCAGGCACAGTGGCTCATGCCTGTGATCCCAGCACTTTGGCCGAGGCAGGCAGATCACCTGCCATCAGGAGTTCGAGACCAGTCTCGCCAACATGGCAAACCCCTGTCTCTACTAAAAATAGAAAAATTAGCCGGGCATGGTGTCGGGCACCTGTAATCACAGCTACTGGGGTGGCTGAGGCAGAAGAATTGCTTGAACCCAGGAGGCGAAGGTTGCAGTGAGCCGAGACTGCACCATTGCACTCTAACCTGGGCTATAAGAGCGAGACTCTGTCTCAAAAAAAAAGCCCTTTACAAATATTAACTCGTTTAATTCTCAGAACACCCCTAGGAGGTGGGTCCTGCTATCCTGCCGGTTTTGTAGATGAGGTAACTGAGGCACAGAGAGGATAAGTCACGTGGCCCAGGTCTTGGTCGCTTCTCAGCCTCCATTTCCGAGAGGAGAAAACAATGCTCCGAAAGGGGAAGTCATCGGCCTGAGGTCACCAGCCGGGAACCGGAGGAGCCAGGATGGGGCCCGAGGTCCATCTGAGGCCAGAGCCAGTGCTGACCCGCCAGACAGGAAATCAGAGCTGGGGACTGACCGTGGGGCCCACTCAAGTGGGTGGTGTGGGGTGGTGACGGGGGCTGGGGTGAAAGCCAGGATGAGGTGTCACATTAGGCTAGGGTTCCTGCTGGGCCTGGCGGGGCAGAGACCCCTGGTTGATGCCTGGCAAGTCTCTCCTCATTTCTGCTGTGCTGTCCCCTGGGTGGCCAAGGCGCCAGGCCCGGCTGTGGATCTGACACCTCCTGCTGCCGAGCTCTGATCAGAATCTGGCTGCAGGGCAGGGGGTGAAACTGAATCCCACCAGGCCTCCCCTGGCCTGGATGTCACGGCAGACATCCCAACCCCACTTCTTGGCACTGCCTGACCCCAGCAGTGGCCTTCTTGGAACCTGGAGAGCCTGTGCCCACCCTGTGGTGCCGACCAGGCTGCTGCCTTGGCCCTGGGCTCTGGGCTCCAGGGTCCCCAGGGATCCCAGGCCCAGGCTCTTGCCCCTCCCGGCTCTCAGGTGAGCTGCTGGGATCGGGTTCCTGCGGTTTCATGTCTTTCATTGTTCTTGGCTGGGGCCCGGCTTATGAAACTGTAATGAGGGGCCCCTGCTCCCGAAGCCGGCCCCTCTAAGGTTTCCACTGCCTCGGCGGCTGCTGCCACCACAGCCCGGAGTCGGGGCCTGGGAGGGCAGCAGTGTGGGGGCCTGAGCCGGAGCCCCCCGGGGACGAGGGTGCTGACAGTCGACAGCCACCACCACCACCAGAGCCCGCAGCCCAGGTAATCCGAGAGGAGGCGGGGCGCAGGGTGCCATGGCCGCTGTCTCCCACCACCAGGGGAGGGAACTGCCGCTCTCCAGAGGTGGGGAGGAATTGGGGGGGGCCCTGGAGGTGAGCAGCCGTTCCCCCCTGGTGAGCCCAGCACCAGACCAGCCTTCACAGGTGTGGCCTTGCCAAAGGTGGAGGGAGAGAGGAGTGGGCAGCTGGCTCTAGCCCCCGCCCTTTTCCTGGGGCCTTGACCCTCCAGCCCTGGATCCCCTGCCTCTCCTTTAGTGGGGCAAATCTCTTCTGTCCTCCAAGACCTTGCTTTCCCATCTCCTCTACCATCAAACTGCCTCTTCCTCCCTCAGACCTCTCCCTTCTCTCAGCCAGCCTAATCCTTCCTCCTCGCCCTTGTCTTTTGGCCGCAAAAGACCCTGGTGGATCCTTCTATCCACCTCGTTCTGGGGCGCACGCACATACATGCATGTATACATGAAGTTGCACTCATGCAAACGTACAGATCGGTGTACCCGCGGGACCTGCGTAGACACGCATGCGCAAGAGCTCGCTCCACCTATGTGCACACATGTGCCCCCAATACCAGGCCTTTATCCACACACATACCTGCTCCAAGGCCCATATGTGTACACTCACGTGTGCAGGCACACACCAGGTACCTCAGCCAGCCCTCGGCTTGAGTCCCAAGGGGTGCTTCTAGCCTGATGGGCAGCTCCTTGAGAAGTGCAGGATCCCCCGAGGAGATGCCTGGAGACTCCCACGCCACCGGGAGGGGCTGTGCAGGGGGAGGGGAGCCCCCACGTGGGCGCTGAGCTGTCTCCTCTCTCCAACCCTGGCCCAGGAGCTCAGGAGCCCTTCAGGTGCTGAGGTGCCCTACTGCGACCTGCCTCGATGTCCACCTGCCCCTGAGGACCCACTCAGCGCCTCAACCTCCGGCTGCCAGTCTGTGGTGGACCCAGGCCTCAGGCCAGGGCCCAAGAGGTGGGTAGAGTCCCAGGGCCCAGGAAGGGCTTCATGGGGTGGAATGCCCTCACCCTTCCCATTTGCACTCCTTCCCCAAGGCAGCACCTGTCTCTAATGGCTGCTGGCATGGGTCACGTGGTCAGTCCTCTAAACCTAGGCACAGGTGGGTGGTGGGCATGCTCCTTGGGCCCACAGGAAGAACTCAGATCACACCACCCTGTTTGCACTTCAGTGGCTGAGCCTCCCCTCCCCAGTCCTGGCTGTCTCTCCCAGGGGCCCTGCCCACCCCATAACCTCCCAAGACCGAGCTCAGCTTTGCCCCAGGGTGTGTGGCTGCTGTACACTCACCTTGCAGTGGGCATGGCCACAGCCTACTCACATTTCCTGGTTCCCTTTGCACAGCTTTAAAAGATTAAACAGTCCCTGCACCCAGGGGCACCTGCTGTCACCCACCTACGTGGGTGTGCACTGCTCCAGGCTCTGGGGTTCCTTCCACCCTCAGGCCTGAGTGGCAGTCCCCCTTTAAGGTCATGGTACCTTGGGAGGCCATGGTCTGAGAGTCTAGAAACCTGGGTTCCAGCTTCAGATCCATCCCTGATGGGTCTTGAGCAAGTTACTCTGTCTTTCTGTGTCTCAGTTTCCCTCTCTGTAAAATAAGAGGGATTGAATTAAATCAGCATTGTGCTGGGATCATTCATGTGCTCCTCACAGGTAGGCATATTAAAACAAACAAACAAACAAAAAAACAGCCTGGGTGCAGTGGCTCATGCCTGTAATTCCAGAACTTTGGGAGGCCAAGGTGGGCGGATCACTTGAGGTCAGGAGGTCGAGACCAGCCTGACCAACATGGCGAAACCCTGTCTCTACTAACTATACAAAAATTAGCCAGGCATGGTGGCAGGTGCCTGTAATCCCAGCTGCTCGGGAGGCTGAGGCAGGAGAACCACTTGAACCCGGGAGGCAGAGGTTGCAGTGAGTTGAGATCGTGCCATTACACTCCAGCCTGGGTGACACAGCGAGGCTCCGTCTCAAAAAAAAAAAAAACAACAAAAAAAAAAAACAAAAAAAAACCCACAAAAAAACGAAAAAAAAAACAAAGACAGCTTTGTTATCAAGTATGTTTCAGAAAGTCTGGGATAAATGAAGTTGAATAGCTTTCCTGCAGGACTTGTCAGAGCCTTTAGCTTGCCTGCGTGCATCGTGGCTTTTGGGTAACGGAAGTAGAGAAGTATGTCATTTGACTACAGAGCTCTTTTTTATGGCCATCACTTATTATCATCGTGTAGGCCAGTCTGTGGGTCACTCTTTGGGGATACTGCCAGCGCTAAGCCTTCTTGAGCCTGTGACTTCTTTTAAAGCAGAGCCTTCTCTGCAGCTCCCTCCCTCAGCATCTGGGCTAGTGAACCCGTCAATGCCTGTGGAGCCATGCTGCCTCTCACATCCTCGTTAGCCAAGCATGAGTCTGTCTTCTTAGACTTACTGAACTTGGGGTCAGTAGACTAAGACTAAGACTTAAAGTTGGGGCTGGGGCAATAGTTTTGGTTCATAACACAGCTCTGCCCTTTCCTATCTCGGTGACCTTGGCCAGTCTCTTGACCTCTCTGAGCCTCAGTGTCTTCCTCTGTGAAATGGGAATTATTATTATTATTATTATTTTGAGATGGCATCTTGCTCTATCACCCAAGCTGGAGTGCAATGACACGATGTTGGCTCACTGCAACCTCAGCCTCCCGAGTAGCTGGGATTCCAGGCATACACCACCACACCCGACTAATTTTTGTATTTTTATTTATTTATTTTTGAGATAGAGTCTCGTGCTGTCACCCAGGCTGGAGCGCAATGGCACGATCTTGGCTCACTGCAACCTCCACCTCCTGGCTTCAAGCGATTATCTTGCCTCAGCCTCCTGAGTAGCTGGGATTACAGGTGTGTGCCACCACCATGCCCATCTAATTTTTTTATTTTTAGTAGAGACGGGGTTTCACCATGTTGGACAGGCTAGTCTCGGACTACTGACCTCAGGTGATCCACCCACCTTGACCTCCCAAAGTGCTAGGATTTCAGGTGTGAGCCACTGCGCCCGGCCTAAAATGGGAATTATTATACTTACTTTAAAGGGATGCTGTTGCTGGGCGCAGTGGCTCACGCCTGTAATCCCAGCACTTTGGGAGTCCGAGACGGGCGGATCACGAGGTCAGGAGATCGAGACCATCCTGGCTAACACGGTGAAACCCCATCTCTACTAAAAAATACAAAAAATTAGCCAGGCGTGGTGGCGGGCGCCTGTAGTCCCAGCTACTGGGGAGGCTGAGGCAGGAGAATGGCATGAACCTGGGAGGCAGAGATTGCAGTGAGCCGAGATGGTGCCACTGCACTCCAGCCTGGGTGACAGAGCGAGACTCTGTCTCAAAATAAATAAATAAATAAATAAATAAATAAATAAATAAATAATAAAATTACAAAAAAAAAAGGGATGCTGTTTTAGCTCAATGAGGCAATCCATATAAAAAGTCTGACACAGAGGCAGCTCTCACCATTGGCTCCCTTTCCCACACCAGCGTGTGGGCCCCAGGCTCCCTGTGTGAGTGAGTGCATATGCCTGGGTGGGGTGGGGGATGCTCCTAACTCCCCATTACTTTTTGGGTCTGTCTCCTCTCCCAGGGGCCCATCCCCCTCAGCAGGGCTCCCAGAAGAGGGTCCCACAGCTGCCCCCAGGAGCAGGAGCCGGGAGCTTGAGGCAGTACCCTATCTGGAGGGCCTGACCACTTCCTTGTGTGGCAGCTGCAACGAGGACCCCGGCTCTGACCCCACCTCCAGCCCTGACTCCGCCACCCCTGATGATACCAGCAACTCGTCCTCTGTGGTGAGCCAGGAGTGGGAGTTTGGGGGACAAGAGTGGCTCACACCTCCATCTGCAGCCCTGGGTCCCACCTAAACCTCCAGGCCAGGGCTGAGCCTCACACCAGGGAATCCGACGAGGTCCTCTGGACCATTAGCTGGCAGCTCGGGCCACCCCGGCGAACCCCTGGAGAGTGGGGATTTCTGCACAGGCTGGCCCAGGGCAGCTGGGGTCTGGCTGTGAAAAGACAGGGAAAGGAGTTTCAGCCGACAGGAGCTCTGGGTGAATCACCAGCAGGCTCGGGCTGCCACATGCTCTCAGATCCCAGAGTGTTGGGTTTGGTGTCTAGCGCAAGAGTGGCACAGGGCCCCAGGGCCCTGCCCTCGACACACAGTGCTGAGTCCCATGGCCAGCCCTGGAATAGATTTCCAAGAGACAGAGGAAAGGGAGCAGGCTGCGGGGGTCATTTAACCACGAAAAGAGAAGAGCCAGCAGTCTTTCCTCCAGCATTTGCATTTTGAGGGGCTGCCGCAGAGCAGAAGAGACAGGCTTGTCCCAGGAGACCCCCCAAAAGGAAAATGACAGGGGGTGGTGATAAGACTCAGAATAAAACAACCCAGCCTCACACGCTTCATGGCCAGCTCCATGCTAAGGGCTTGGTGGGTGTGGGCTCAGGGGAGACTCACCACAGCCTCAGAAGTGGAGATTTCAGTCGCCCCATATGGGGCTGAGGCTCAGCGGGGGGAGCAACTTAGTGGAGGCCACACATCTGGGAAGTAGTGGGGCTAGGATTTGAACCCACTTTTCTCTGGCCCCTGGGGCTACCTCACACAGTCCCACATGCGGAACTCTGGGACTCTGGGCAAAGCTCTTGGCTTCAATGGATGTACATGCCTCCTAGGTCCGTTGAAGATGAGCGACTTGGCACTTAGCACCTGCTAGAGCCCAGCACAGTGCCAGGCAAACAGCACATGCTTTTAATTTAATTGATTGATTGAAGACTGGGTGCGGTGGCTCACGCCTGTAATCCCAGCACTTTGGGAGGCCAAGGTGGGCGGATCACCTGAAGTCAGGAGATCGAGACCAGCCTGGCCAACATGGTGAAACTCTGTCTCTACTAAAAATACAAAAATTAGCAGGGTGTGGTGGTGGGCACCTGTAATCCCAGCTACTTGGGAGGCTGAGACAGGAGAATCGCTTGAACCCGGGAGGTTGCAGTGAGCTTAGATTGCACCATTGCACTCCAGCCTGGGCAACAAGAGCAAAACTCCGTCTTAAATAGAGAAAAAAAAAAAAGTTGATTGATTGAGACAGGGTCTTGCTCCATTGCCCAGACTGGAATGCAATGATGTGAACATGGCTCACTACAGCCTTGACTTCCTGGGCTCAAGTGATCCCCCCACCTCAGCCTCCTCAGTAGCTGGGACTATAGGCATGCACAACCATGCCTAGTTATTATTATTTTTTTTAATTTTGTAGAGACAGGGTCTCACTGTGTTGCCCAGCCTGGAAGTGCTTTTTACTGAGGCCATGGAGCGGAGTCTACACCACAGAAGGTGTGGCACCACTCACTGTCACCTCTTGGGGACAGAACTTGACAGTTTAGGAAGTGCTTTTTATTTTTTATTTAATTTTATTTATTTTTGAGATGGAGTCTTGCTCTGTCACCTGGGCTGGAGTGCAGTGCCACAATCTCAGCTCACTGCAACCTCTGTCTCCCAGGTTCAAGCGATTCGCCTGCCTCAGCCTCTCGAGTATCTGGGATTACAGGCGCCCACCACTATGCCTGGCTAGTTTTTGTATTTTTAATAGAGACAGGGTTTCACCATGTTGGCCAGGCTGGTTTCGAACTCCTGCCCTCAGGTGATCCACCTGCCTCAGCCTCACAAAGTGTTGGGATTACAGGCGTGAGCCACTGCGCCCTGCAGGGAAGTGCTTTGTTTTTTTTTGTTTTGTTTTTCTTTTTGTTTTTTGAGACAGAGTCTCACTCTGTCACCCAGGCTGGAGCTCAGTGGCGCGATCTCCACTCAATGCAAGCTCCACCTCCCAGGTTCACACCATTCTCCTGCCTCAGCTTCCCAAGTAGCTGGGACTACAGGTGCCCGCCACCACGCCCAGCTAATTTTTTGTATTTTTTAGTAGAGATGGGGTTTCACCATGTTTCCCAGGATGGTCTCGATCTCCTGACCTCGTGATCCACCCACCTCGTCCTCCCAAAGTGCTGGGATTGCAGGCGTGAGCCACAGCGCCTGGCCAGGGAAGTGCTTTTTAATGCCAATTCCCTTCCCTTCCTTCTGCCCCTCTCATTTGGAGAGTATATGTCCTGCAGCCTTTTTTCTCCCGCAAACATACTTTCTCCTCCCCTTCTCTGGCAGGACTGGGACACTGTTGAGAGGCAGGAGGAGGAGGCCCCCAGCTGGGACGAGCTCGCAGTGATGATCCCGAGGAGGCCTCGGGAGGGGCCGAGAGCTGACAGCTCCCAAAGGGCTCCGTCTCTCCTCACCAGGTCCCCTGTGGGAGGAGATGCTGCAGGCCAGAAAAAGGAGGGTGAGTCCTTCTGCCAGGTTGGTTCCCATGGTGATGGCCTGGGGCCCCCCAGATAGCCATCTCACTGGCCATTTGGGACTCTGGGCACGGCTTACTTTGGTGGCCTGAGTGTTAATAATAGTAACAGTTTGCATGTCATGATGGAGCAGCCACAATGAGTTATGCTACCCACTTTAATTATTATTATTATTATTTGGGATGGAGTCTTGCTCTGTTGCCCAGGCTAGAGTGCAGTGGTGTGATCTCGGCTCACTGCAACCTTTGCCTCCCCAGTTCAAGCGATTCTCCTGCCCCAGCCTCCCAAGTAGCTAAGATTACAGGCTCCCGCCACCATGCCCAGCTAATTTTTGTCTTTTTAGTAGACATGGGGTTTCACCATGTTAGCCCAGCTGGTCTCAAACTCCCAACCTTCAGTGATCTGCCCATCTTGGCCTCCTAAATTGCCGGGATTACAGGCGTGATTACAGGCACGCCTAGCCTGTTATTATTATTATTATTACTATTATTATTTTGAGATAAGAGTCTCACACTGTTGCCCAGACTGGAGTGCAGTGGTGCCCTCTTGGCTCACTGCAACCTCCGCCTCCTGGGTTCAAGAGATTCTCCTGCCTCAGCCTCCTAAGTACCTGGGATTACAGGCACCCGCCACCACACGTGGCTAATTTGTGTATTTTTAGTAGAGACAGGGTTTCACCATGTTGGCCGGGCTTGTCTCAAATTCCTGGCTGGGGATTACAGGAGTGAGCCACTATGCCTGGCCTTAGCCAAGGAGTTTGGACTTCTCTAAATAGTAGGGAGCCACCGAAGGTTTTTGAGGAGGAAAGTCATGTAATTAAACCTGTGCCTCAGGAAGTTCCCTAGATCAAAGATGCAAAGGATGAATTGGAGCAGGGAGGGGTTGAAGGATGAGAAACCAGTTAAGAGACTGTTGCAGGCACTGTAGCAATAACTGGTTCAGGCATGAATCACTGGCGGATGCAAAATCCCTAGGGTGATAATTTGTCAGCAAACAGGATAGTCATGGTTTCAAAGTATTGTGTCCGGAATTGGTGGGTTCTTGGTCTCACTGACTTCAAGAATGAAGCGGCAGACCCTCGCGATATTACAGTTCTTAAAGGCGGCGTGTCTGGAGTTTGTTCCTTCTGATGTTCGGATGTGTTTGGAGTTTCTTCCTTCTGGTGGGTTCGCGGTCTCGCTGGCTCAGGAGTGAAGCTGCAGACCTTTGTGGTGAGTGTTACGGCTCTTAAGGAGACGCGTCCGCAGTTGTTCTTTCCTCCCTGTGGGTTCATGGTCTGGATGGCTTCAGGAGTGAAGCTGCAGACCTTCGTGGTGAGCGTTACAGCTCATAAAGGCAGTGTGGACCCAAAGAGTGAGCAGCAGCAAGATTTATTGCAAAGAGCGAAAGAACAAAGCTTCCACAGCATGGAAGAGGACCCGAGCGGGTTGCCAGAGCTGGCTGGGGCAGCCTGCTTTTATTCTCTTGTCTGGCCCCACCCACATCCTGCTGATTGGTCCATTTTACAGAGAGCCGAGTGGTCTGTTTTGACAGGGCGCTGATTGGTGCATTTACAATCCCTGAGCTTGACACAAAGGTTCTCCACATCCCCACTAGATTAGCTAGATACAGTGTCCACACAAAGGTTCTCCAAGTCCCCAACAGAGTAGCTAGATACAGAGTGTGGATTGGTGCATTCACAAACCCTGAGCTAGACACAGGGTGCTGATTGGTGTGTTTACAAACCTTGAGCTAGAGACAGAGTGCTGATTGGTGTATTTACAATCCCTTAGCTAGACATAAAGGTTCTCCAAGTTCCCACTACACTCAGGAGCCCAGCTGGCTTCACCCAGTGGATCTCGTTCTGGGGCTGCAGGTGGAGCTGCCTGCCAGTCCCATGCCATGCGCCCACACTCCTCAGCCCTTGGGTGGTTGATGGGACTGGGCGCTGTGGAGCAGGGGCGGCGCTCATCGGGGAGGCTCGGGCTGCACAGGAGCCCACGGAGGCGGGGGGAAGCTCAGGCATGGCGGGCTGCAGGTCCCGAGCCCTGCCCGGTGGGAAGGCAGCTAAGGCCCGGCGAGAAATCCAGCGCAGCGCTGGTGGGCGGGCACTGCTGGGGGACCCAGCACACCCTCCCCAGCCGCTGGCCCAGGTGCTAAGCCCCTCATTGCCCGGGGCCGGCAGGGCCAGCCGGCCGCTCCGAGTGCGGGGCCCACCAAGCCCACGCCCACCCGGAACTCCAGCTGGCCCACAAGCGCCGCGCGCAGCCTCGGTTCCCGCTCGCGCCTCTCCCTCCACACCTCCGTGCAAGCTGAGGGAGCCAGCTCCGGCCTCGGCCAGCCCAGGAAGGGGCTCCCACAGTGCAGCGGTGGCCTGAAGGGCTCCTCAAGTGCCGCCAAAGTGGGAGCCCAGGCAGAGGAGGCGCCGAGAGTGAGCGAGGGCTGTGAGGGCCGCCAGCATGCTGTCACCTCTCAGTATCACCCCTCAGATTCTGCATCGATTACTGAGAGAAAGGCACCCTTAGGCTGGGGAGAGCGGGAAGATACCACTTTCACCAAGAGGCTGCTCAGCATCCCCAGAGTGGGGCAAACCAACATAATATGCCCCCTGATATGATGCATGGGGTCAGGGGAGGGGATGCTGGGGTGGGCACAGAATCCCTTCCCTTCTAAATCGTCCTGCTGAAAATGCATTGCCTACACCTAACCCCAGTGAAACATCAGACAAACCCGAATTGAAAGACATTCTGCAAAATGACTGGGCTCCTCATAGGACAAAAAGCGGCTAGGGGACTCTTCTTGATTAAAAGAGACTAACAGGATGAGGACGTGGAATGCCATGTGTGAGCCCATTGGGATCTGGGACAGGAGGACACAGAGCTGTGACAGGCATTACTGGGACAACTGGGGCTTGTTTTTTTTTTTTTTTTTTTTTGAGATGGAGTCTTGCTCTGTTCCCCAGGCTGGAGTGCAGTGGCGCGATCTCAGCTCATTGCAACCTCCACCTCCTGGGTTCAAGCGATTCTCCTGCCTCAGTCTCCTGAGTAGCTGGGACTATAGGTGCCTGCCACCACGCCCAGCTGACTTTTTGTATTTCTAGTAGAGACAGGGTTTCACCATGTTGAGCCTGATGGGATCCGGGACACGCCTATAGTCCCAGTTACTCGGGATGCTGAGGCAGGAGGATCGCTTGAACTTGGGAGGTGGAGGTTGCCGTGAGCTGAGATCGCCCCACTGCACTCCCGCCTGGGCAACAGAATAAGACTCCATCTCAAATAAATAAATAAATAAATAAATAAATAAATAAGGGCCATGGTTGTGGGGTGAGGAGGGGACAGAGAAGGAGAGAGGTTTAGGAGGCAGACTTGATGGTACTTTGGACAGGAGGATACACAGTCACAGCTCCTGGCCTGGGTGTCTGGGTAGATGGTGTGCCCTTTGCTGAGAGCAGGTGGCTGGGGAGCGGATGGGCCCAGCGCTGGCTGTGCTGTGTGGGATTTGCGAGCCCTGAGGAAGAGGTTTTGAGGCTTCAGATGCTCAGGGAAGCAGGGGATGGAGATGTGGCATCTTCAACTGAGGAGCAATGTTCACTCAGGCACTCAGCAGACGTTTACTTACTGCCCACAAGTCAATCATGGCTGAATAGATGAGGCAGCAATGAGAACAGCAGCAGCATTACAGCAGTGACCTGTTTTTTTGATGTTCCAGGCCTTGTGCTAAATAAATGTCTTGCACAGAATCACTCTGGGCTCCCCGATCCCTCACTCCTGGTCTGCCTCCTTCCTCACGGGCCACTCCACCTCGCTCTCCTTTGCTGAGGCCGCCTCCTCTGCTTCACTTTTAAATATCTGATGCCCCACATCCCAGTCCTGGGCCCCTTCTGTCTTCTCCCTGCACACTTAGCTGCTTGGCTTTCGGTACTGTCTGGGAAAAACCATGACTCCGGAGTCCACATCTCTGGCCTTGATTTCTCCCCTGAACCTGCCAATTTATACAACCCAGCCCTCTACTGCGTTAATCACACCTCAGGCCCCACACTGCACTCACTGTTTCACTCATCCCCCCCCGCCCTTTTTTTTTTTTTTTTTTTTTTTTTTGAGACAGAGTTTCACTCTTGTTGCCCAGGCTGGAGTACAATGGCGCAGTCTCGGCTCACTGCAACCTCCACCTCCCAGGTTGAAGCCATTCTCCTGCCTCAGGCTCCCAAGTAGCTGGGATTACAGGCATGCACCACCACGCCCGGCTAATTTTGTATTTTTAGTAGAGACGGGGTTTCTCCATGTTGGTCAGGCTGGTCTCGAACTCCCGACCTCAGGTGATCCGCTGATCCGCCTGCCTCGGCTTCCCAAAGTGCTGGGATTACAGGCGTGAGTGACCGTGCCCGGCCCACTGCTACAATACTATTAACTAAGCTACAGACGTGATGGGATTCACCAGTTTTTCTACTAATATCCTTTTTCTGTTCCAGGATCCATTCCAGGATCCCACATTGCCTTTAGTCCCTCTCCTCATCTCCTCCGTCTCCTCCAATCTGTGACAGGTTTCCCATCTCTTCCAGTTTCCCCTGAAGGCTGGGGGCACAGCGATCTGCTCACCTTTGACTTTAAAAAAAGTCTCCCTGGATGAACAATGACATTGGCCCCAGAGTGCCCAGGCTTGGGGGCTACTGCAACCATCCAGGAGAGAAATAGTGGTGGCTTGGAGTAGGAAGTGGGTGTAGATGAGAGAAACAGGTGAATATGGAATGTATTTATTTTATTTTTCGTAGAGATGGGGGCTCACTATGTTGCCCAGGCTGGTCTCCAACTCCTGGGCTCAAGCAATCCTCCTGCCTCAGCCTCCCGAAATGTTGGAATTACAGGTGTGAGCCACTACCAGGCATGAAACGTATTTTAGAATGCCATGGGACATCAGCCACCAGCAATTTTTTTTGTTTTTTGTTTTCTGAGACAGAGTCTCGCTCTGTCACCCAGGCTGGAGTGCAGTGGCCAGATCTCAGCTCACTGCAACCTCCACCTCCCGGGTTCAAGCAATTCTCCAGCCTCTGCCTCCCGAGTAGCTGGGATTACAGGCATGCACTACTGCATCCGGCTAATTTTTTTTTTTTTTTTTTGTATTTTTAGTAGAGATGGGGTTTCACCGTGTTAGCAGGGCTGGTATCGATCTCCTGACCTTGTGATCCGCCCGCCTCGGCCTCCCAAAGTGCTGGGATTACAGGCATCAGCCACTGCTCCCGGCTGCATCCAGCTAATTTTTGTATTTTTAGTAGAGACTGGTTTCACCATGTTGGCCAGGCTGGTCTCGAACTCCTGACCTCAGATGATCCACCCGCCTTGGCCTCCCAAAGTGTTAGCATTACAGGCGTGAGCCACCGTGCCTGGCAACCTTGCAAATTTTGAATTCCCTGCTAGGTGCTGGGAACTCAGACTTTCACCAACACCAGCCCAGAGAGGCTGGACGAGGCAGTGGCTGCAAAGGGAGAGGACAGGGGATCTTAAGAAGGCGTGAAGGGAGGGGATCTGCATGAAGGCAACTGTGGCTACTTTTTTGTTTCGTTTTTTGTTTTAAGACAATGTCTTGCTCTGTTGCCCATGCTGGAGGGCAATGGCACATTCTTGGCTCACTGCAACCTCCACCTCCTGGGCTCAGGCACTCCTCCGGCCTCAGCCTCCTAGGTAGCTGGGACTACAGGCACGTACCACCAGGCCCTGCTAAGTTTTAAAAAACTTGTAGTAGAGACAGGGTCTCGCCATGTTGCCTAGGCTGGTCTGGAACTCCTGAGCTCGAGTGATCCTCCCACCTTGGCCTCTCAAAGTGCTGGGATTACAGGTGTAAGCCACCACACCCATAGTTGTGGCTCCTTTAAGATGAGGCCATGATACCCTTTACTCTTCACCTAAAGCAGTAGCCAAGGGACATGTACATAGGGGTGCTCAACACCTGCTTGGTGACCGAGGGATTGAGCGGGGTGGAGGGTGACACACCAAGGTCATGGCAACTCTGTCATGAGGCTAGGAGTTGCAAAGAGGGTCACTACTGAGGACAGTTACATTAATCCTTTAGGCCAGTGCTTCTGAAACTATAAGGTGTACAAATCACCAGACAGTTTTGTTAAATGCAGATCCAGAAGCAGTGCATCTGGGCTGGGACCTGAGATTCTGCATTTCTGGCAAACTCCCAGCTACCAGTTTATAAAAGGTTGTCCATCCCTGCACCTTTCCTATCCTCATGGCAGCCCTAGGAGAAGCCTCAGGGTAGGAACATTTGGATACAAAAAAACAGGGGCTTTCTAGAGCTGTCGCACAGGAAACAGGCTCATTAGAACCTGTCTCTACTAAAAACACAAAAATGAGCTGGGCATAGTGGTGCATGCCTGTAATCCCAACTACTTGGGAGGCTGAGGCAGGAGAATCATTTGAACCCAGGAGGCTTAGGTTGCGGTGAGCCGAGATCGCGTCATTGCACTCTAGCCTGGGTGACAGAACGAGACTCTGTCTCAAAAAAAAAAAAAAAAAGGTCGGGCATGGTGGCTCACGCCTGTAATCCCAGCACTTTGGGAGGCCGAGGTGAGCGGATCACCTGAGGTCAGGAGTTCGAGACCAGCCTGGCCAACATGGTGAAACCCCGTCTCTACTAAAAATACAAAAATTAGCTGGGCATGGTGGCGCATGCCTGTAATCCCAGCTACTCGGGAGGCTGAGGCAGGAGAATGGCTTGAACCTGGGAGGCGGAGGTTGCCATGAGCCGAGATCACGCCACTGCACTCCAGCCTGGGCGACAGAGCGAGACTCTGACTCAAAAACAAAACAAAACAAGAAATGGGGGGAATTCCTTGGATTCTGATTGAAGGAAATAGAACTGGGAAGGGAAGACTGTCAGGTGGCTGCTGTTGGGCCCACCTCTCCCTCCCTGGGGTCACACAGGCCATTGTCAACACTTCTCTCCACAAATTTGCTTCTTCTCTGTCTTGTCCGTGGATCCCCAGACCCTGTGGCCTTCCAGTTCTTGAACCCATCTCTTGAGTGAGTCAGGGTCTCAATTTCAAATTCTTGACCTCAGCTTGAGAGAGGCATCCAAGCCCTTGTCTAATCAGCCTTGGTCAGAGAGGTGGAGTCACTTGGTACAGACAGTGAGACCTGTAGGAGGAGGGTGTGGGGTTTGCCCTAATCACTGGTCCTAAGGGACAAAGAAAGGTAGAATATGAGAGCTGCCTGGACCTCTCCCCTTACCTTGAGCCCCTCTCTTCTCTCTCCAGACACCGGCGGTGGGGGCCGGAGCGCAGGACAGCACTGGGCAAGGCTCCGGGGAGAAAGCGGGTTGTCCCTGGAGCGGCACCGGTCAACACTGACCCAGGCTTCCTCCATGACACCACACAGTGGACCTCGAAGCACCACGTCTCAGGCTTCTCCTGCCCAAAGGGACACTGCTCAGGCTGCCTCTACACGTGAAATCCCCAGAGCCTCCTCTCCCCATCGAATCACCCAAAGGGACACCTCCAGGGCCTCATCCACCCAACAGGAAATCTCCAGGGCCTCATCCACCCAACAGGAAACCTCCAGGGCCTCATCCACCCAAGAGGACACCCCTAGGGCCTCATCCACCCAAGAGGACACCCCCAGGGCCTCATCTACACAGTGGAACACCCCCAGAGCTTCCTCTCCCTCACGAAGCACCCAACTGGATAACCCCAGAACCTCTTCTACCCAGCAGGACAACCCCCAAACTTCTTTTCCTACTTGTACTCCCCAGCGGGAAAACCCCAGGACACCCTGTGTCCAGCAGGACGATCCCAGAGCCTCCTCTCCCAACAGAACCACTCAACGAGAGAATTCCAGAACATCCTGTGCCCAGCGGGACAATCCCAAAGCCTCCAGAACCTCCTCTCCCAATAGAGCCACACGAGACAACCCCAGAACATCCTGCGCCCAGCGGGACAATCCCAGAGCCTCCTCTCCCAGTAGAGCTACACGAGACAACCCCACAACATCCTGTGCCCAGCGGGACAATCCCAGAGCCTCCAGAACCTCCTCTCCCAATAGAGCCACACGAGACAACCCCAGAACATCCTGTGCCCAGCGGGACAATCCCAGAGCCTCCTCTCCCAGTAGAGCTACACGAGACAACCCCACAACATCCTGTGCCCAGCGGGACAATCCCAGAGCCTCCAGAACCTCCTCTCCCAATAGAGCCACACGAGACAACCCCAGAACATCCTGCGCCCAGCGGGACAATCCCAGAGCCTCCTCTCCCAATAGAGCTGCACGAGACAACCCCACAACATCCTGTGCCCAGCGGGACAATCCCAGAGCCTCCAGAACCTCCTCTCCCAATAGAGCCACACGAGACAACCCCAGAACATCCTGTGCCCAGCGGGACAATCCCAGAGCCTCCTCTCCCAATAGAGCTACACGAGACAACCCCACAACATCCTGTGCCCAGCGGGACAATCCCAGAGCCTCCAGAACCTCCTCTCCCAATAGAGCCACACGAGATAACCCCAGAACATCCTGTGCCCAGCGGGACAATCCCAGAGCCTCCTCTCCCAACAGAACCACCCAACAAGACAGCCCCAGAACATCCTGTGCCCGACGGGACGATCCCAGAGCCTCCTCTCCTAACAGAACCATCCAACAAGAGAACCCCAGAACATCCTGTGCCCTACGGGACAATCCCAGAGCCTCCTCTCCCAGCAGAACCATCCAACAAGAGAACCCCAGAACATCCTGTGCCCAACGGGACGATCCCAGAGCCTCCTCTCCTAACAGAACCACCCAACAAGAGAACCCCAGAACATCCTGTGCCCGACGGGACAATCCCAGAGCCTCCTCTCGCAACAGAACCATCCAGCGAGACAACCCCAGAACATCCTGTGCCCAGCGGGACAATCCCAGAGCCTCCTCTCCTAACAGAACCATCCAACAAGAGAACCTCAGAACATCCTGTACCCGACAGGACAATCCCAGGACCTCCTCTCCCAATAGAGCCACACGAGACAACCCCAGAACATCCTGTGCCCAGCGGGACAATCTCAGAGCCTCCTCTCCCATCAGAGCCACCCAACAGGACAACCCCAGAACTTGTATTCAACAGAACATCCCCAGATCATCTTCTACCCAACAAGACAACCCTAAAACCTCTTGTACCAAACGAGATAACCTCAGACCCACTTGTACACAGCGGGACCGCACACAGTCCTTTTCCTTTCAACGAGACAACCCTGGAACCTCCTCATCTCAATGCTGCACCCAAAAGGAGAATCTGAGACCATCATCTCCCCACCGCTCCACTCAATGGAACAATCCCAGGAATTCATCTCCCCATCGTACTAACAAAGACATCCCCTGGGCCTCGTTTCCCCTCCGGCCAACTCAGAGTGATGGTCCCCGAACCTCTTCCCCATCTCGCTCCAAGCAAAGCGAGGTTCCCTGGGCATCCATCGCCCTCCGGCCAACCCAAGGTGACAGGCCTCAGACATCCTCTCCCAGCAGGCCAGCCCAGCATGACCCACCCCAGTCCTCCTTTGGCCCCACCCAGTACAACTTGCCATCCCGGGCCACCTCTTCCTCCCATAACCCAGGCCACCAGAGCACCTCCCGAACTTCCTCACCTGTGTACCCCGCTGCCTATGGGGCTCCCCTGACCTCTCCTGAGCCCTCCCAGCCTCCATGTGCTGTGTGCATTGGGCACCGGGATGCCCCTCGAGCCTCTTCGCCCCCTCGCTATTTGCAGCACGACCCCTTCCCCTTCTTCCCAGAGCCCCGCGCCCCTGAGAGTGAACCGCCCCACCACGAGCCTCCCTATATACCACCTGCTGTGTGCATTGGACACCGAGATGCCCCCCGGGCGTCCTCGCCCCCCCGCCACACCCAATTTGACCCCTTCCCCTTCCTCCCAGACACATCAGATGCCGAGCATCAGTGTCAGTCCCCCCAACACGAGCCCCTTCAGCTCCCTGCACCTGTGTGTATTGGGTACCGAGATGCACCCCGGGCCTCCTCCCCACCACGCCAGGCCCCAGAGCCTTCCCTCTTATTCCAGGACCTCCCCAGGGCCAGCACAGAGAGCCTTGTCCCTTCCATGGACTCTCTGCACGAGTGCCCCCACATCCCCACCCCTGTGTGCATTGGGCACCGGGATGCACCCTCCTTCTCATCCCCACCACGCCAGGCTCCTGAGCCATCCCTCTTCTTCCAGGATCCCCCTGGAACTAGTATGGAGAGCCTGGCCCCCTCCACTGACTCTCTGCATGGCTCCCCAGTGCTGATCCCCCAAGTGTGCATCGGGCACCGGGATGCACCCCGAGCCTCCTCCCCACCCCGCCACCCACCCAGTGACCTAGCGTTCCTGGCACCCTCACCTTCACCGGGCAGCTCTGGGGGCTCCCGGGGCTCAGCGCCTCCCGGGGAGACCAGGCACAACTTGGAGCGGGAGGAGTACACTGTGCTGGCCGACCTGCCCCCACCCAGGAGGCTGGCCCAGAGACAGCCAGGGCCCCAGGCGCAGTGCAGCAGCGGGGGCCGCACCCACAGCCCTGGCCGTGCAGAGGTGGAGCGCCTCTTCGGGCAAGAGCGCAGGTGAGCCCGGGGGTGGGGTCAGCCAGGTGGGCTGGGGAGGAGGCTCGGCAGCAGGACAGGTGAAGGGTTAGGGTGCCAAAAGAAAGTGTTCAAATCCCCCTGGCTTGCCATTTACCGGCTGTGTGACCTTGGGCAAATCGCTCCATTTCTCTGTTTCTGCATATTGGGAGTTTTCTGTTTTGTGTGTGTGTGTGGTTAAGTGATGTCATGCACAGCCCAGTGGTTAACAGCAAAGACTGCAGTCAGGAGGGCTGAGTCCAAATCCTGGGTCAAAGCCACATGTCAACTCGTATGACCTGATATAGTGAGTTAACCTACCTGAGCCTCAGTTTCCTCATCTGTAAGGGAGGGGAACATGAGCACATTCATTCAAATAAGGGTGAACTGTCTTTTTATTTTTTATTTTTTGTTTTTTTTTTTGAGGTGGAGTTTTGCTCTTGTTGCCCAGGCCGGAGCGCAATGGTGCAATCTCGGCTCACTGCAACCTCCACCTCCTGGGTTCAAGCGATTCTCCTGCCTCAGCCTCCCGAGTAGCTGGGATTACAGGCACGTGCCACCACACCCGGCTAATTTTTTTGTATTTTTACTAGAGACGGGGTTTCGCCATATTGGCCAGGCTGGTCTCGAACTCCTGACCTCAAGTGATCCACCCGCCTCGGCCTCGCAAAGTGCTAGGATTACAGGAGTGAGCCACCGTGCCCGGCCAAAATGAGAGTGAACTCTCAAACCCTTTGATCCAGACTCATGGGTTTTTTTTTTTTTTCTTCCGTGCATGAGGGAGAAGAAGAAAGTACCCATGATTTTTTCCTGCCTTGGCAAAGAAAACTCATGGGTCCCTATGCATTTCAGAAAACAGTTATGTCAATTTAAAATGTATGGCCAGGGCCGGGCACGGTGGCTCATGCCTGTAATCCCAGCACTTGGGGAGGCCGAGGCGGGCGGATCACAAGGTCAGGAGATCGACAGCAGCCTGGCTAACACGGTGAAACCCCATCTCTACTAAAAATACAAAAAATTAGCTGGGCATGGTGGCGGGCGCCTGTAGTCCCAGCAACTCGGGAGGCTGAGGCAGGAGAATTGCTTGAACCTGGGAGGCGGAGCTTGCAGTGAGCCGAGATCGTACCACTGCACTCCAACCTGGGTGACAGAGTGAGACTCCATCTAAAAATAAAAATAAAATAAAAATGTATGGCCAGAGCTACCTATTTTAAGAAAGAAAGCTCACAGAATTATGGATTTTTAGCAGTCAAACATCCTGGGACACCTGAAGTCCAGGTGTCTTTTGAGTCTCCTTGGTCAGCAGCACTGGCCCCCTGGAAGGGGAGCATTTCCTCCTGATCAGGCTGAGGTTTCTCTCCCCAGAAGTTCCAGCCCTCGAGTTTTCAAGAATCAGAGCTAGAATTCCATTAGTTAGGGTCAAGAGAACAACAGCAACAAAAAGCAGTCTGGAAGTCTCAAAACTTTCCATGTATATAATTCAACGAATTTTTAGTTTATTTACCAAGTTGTCCAACCATTGCCACAATCTAACTTTAGAACATTTTCATCACCCTAAAGGGTATGGAATATTTTGTATCTAAAATTCCTCTTTGCTGCTCCTTGGGAAAGTTTTCTCCTGGATTTGAATCTGCATGAGAAACCTTATCAGTCTTGGCTGGGTGCAGTGGCTCCCTCCTGTAATCCCAGCACTGGAGCTTGCAGTGAGCCAAGATCATGCCACTACACTCCAGCCTGGGTGACAGAGTGAGACTCCGTCTCAAAAAAAAAAAAAAAAAAAAAAATTAGCCGGGCATAGTGGCACACGCCTGTAGTCCCAGCTACTCAGGAGGCTGAGGCAGCAGTATTGCCTGAATTTGGGAGGTGGAGTTTGCAGTGAGCTGAGATTGCGTCATTGCACTCCAGCCTGGGCAACAAGAGTGAAACTCCATCTCAAAAAAAGAAAAAAAAGAAACTTTATCTCTTGTTCTTCAAATTTCCTTTTCCAGTAAGCTTGATCATTTAATATCCAGATGACAACCGTGTGGTCTCCAGCATTAGTATAATTCTTTCTTTGGCCTTAAAAACAAAAACCCAGAGCAGTTTTAGGTTTACAGCAAAATTGAGCAGAAAGTGCAGTGTTCCATGCACAGCCTCTCCCACTACCAATATCCTGTACTAGATAGGTATGCTTGTTTCCAGCTCCTGGCCTCAAGGGATCCTCCTTTCTTGGCCTCTCAAAGTGCTGGTGAGCCACTGTACTGGGCAGTAGGGTGATACATTTGTTACAATCCATGAACCTACACTATGAAATCACCCAAAGTTTAGGGTTCACTCTTGGTGATGTACAGCCTATAGGCTTGAATGAATGTATGACAAGTATCCACCATTGTAACATCATGGAGTAGTTTCACCCTGAAAGTCTTCAGTGTCTTTAACTTTTTTTTTTGTTTGGAGATGGAGTCTCGCTCTGTCACCCAGGCTGGAGTGCAGTAGTGCAATCTTGGCTCACTGCAACCTCTGCCTTCTGGGTTCAAGCAGTTCTCCTGCCTCAGCCTCCCGAGGAGCTGGGACTACAGGAGCATGCCGCCACATCCGGCTAATTTTTTTGTATTTTTAGTAGCGACAGGGTTTCACCCTGTTGCCCAGGCTAGTCTTGAACTCCTGAGCTCAGGCAATCTACCCACCTCGGCCTCCCAAAGTGCTGGGATTATAGGCGTGAGCCACCGTGCCTGGTCTGACCTTTTTTTTTTTTGAAACAGGGTCTTGCTTTGTCACCCAGCAGTAGTGCAGTGGCGTGATCATGGCTCACTGCGGCCTCAAACTGCCAGGCTCAAGCGATTCTCTCACCTCAGCCTCCTCAGTAGCTGGGACTACAGGCGTGTACCACTATACCCAGCTAATTTTTCTACTTTTTGTAGAGATGGAGTCTCACTTTGTTGCCCAGGTTGGTCTCAAACTCCTGGCCTCAAGCAATGCTCCCACCTTGGCCTCCCAAAGTGTCTTTGACCTTTTTATGATTACTATTTCTTGTCTAATGTCAATTTTCCTAACTTTGTCTTAACTAATAACTCAGCAGGGACATTAAGGTCTTTAAGCCAAAGTTAATTAATTTTCTTTCCTTTTTTCCAGGATAATTTCAGAGAGATAAGGTGTTTATATTAATAATAGAAATGAGAAATATGTTTACACTTTTATTAACCATTTGTTTTTACACGATCACTCCTATACATTTAATTCTACTCTCTTTGAAATAGCTTATTTACCTTTTAGGGAAGTTTTCATAATTTTACTGAATAATTAAAATTTTTCCTCTTATCTGGCACCTTTTCCAAGTAGAAAACCATTCATCCTCTGAATATGGAAAATTTTAAAACTGTGCAGTGTGTGTGTAAGGGACAGACTGGAGCTTATGAGCGGGTGGCTGTAGGAGTGTGCTTTTATTTTCTCCTATTTCCTCATCGATATGTATTTATTGAGCATCTACTCTGTCCAAGCATTGTCCCGAGTCTGGAAAATTTTTCTTAAAGGGTTGTCACATCAAAGCATTGGGAGTTTTGGCTTGATCTTAATTTTTTTTTCCTTAGATGCCTTTGGCATCTCTTAGAGTCACGTAGCATCCTGTGGTCATTTGAATTCAAAACCTAGCCTTCACTGGATTTGCTAGACTTGATGGCTTTGCTCCTTTAATTCTCTCTGGAGGTCGAAGAACCCATCTAAGCTTCCGAAGGAAACGTTTCCTTTGTCATGCTTGGTGCGGCCACATCAACCCTCGGGAACAGGTGGCCCCGAGGAGACGCTGTTGCTTCAGCATCGGACAAGCCAGGTCTCTGTTGGGGTTTCAGAATCTTCTTGAGTCCCTCACTCTTTTCTCTCAGTTCTACATGGGGGAAAAAAGGAAGGCGAGTTCTCAGGAGGAATGCTCATCAAGCAAGCTGGAGTTCGTATGGAAAATGCATCCATCCGGAAGAGAACACACAAGTGCCTTGCTTCCCTGCACCGGGTGTTTCCACTATTGTCCTCCTGGTCCTCCCCATTAGGGAGGAACAGCCCACTGGGTCACGTCTGGGCTCTTGCTTCATCGAAGCTCCTATACCCCAGTTCGGGGGAAAATTCACTCTAAGGCCTTCAGCTCTCACAGAGTAAGGAAACGCACTCACCTCCAATTAGATTACAAATTGGCTGGGTGCAGTGGCTCATGCTTGTAATGCCAAGACTTTGGGAGGTCAAGGCAGGTGGATTACCTGAGGTCAGGAGTTCAAAATGAGACCAGCCTGGCCAACATGGTGAAACCCCGTCTCTACTAAAAATATAAAAATTAGCTGGGCATGGTGGTGGACACCTGTAATCCCAGCTGCTCAGCAGGCTGAGGCAGGAAAATCACTTAAAACCAGAAGGCGGAGGTTGCAGTGAGCTGAGATTGCACCACTGCACTCCAGCCTGGGTGACAGAGCGAGACTCCATCTCAAAAAAAAAAAAAAAAAAAAAGTTACAAACAGCCTGCCCAGGGAGCCCTCAAGCTCAGAAACACTTCCTCCAGGGAACTTTGGTTCCTCTCCGAACCAGCTGCCAATAACTGCTAACAACTAACATTATTGTGCTTTATGGCTCTGATTCTAATGACATTGGCAAAAGACATGAAACAACAAAAAACTCCAACCCCATACTTTTTTTTTGAGACAGGATCTTGCTCTTTCACCCAGGCTGGAATGCAGTGGCATGATCATGGCTCACTGCAGCCTCAACCTCCCAGGCTGAAGCGATCCTCCCACCTCAGCTTCCCAAGTAGCTGGGACTACAGCCACGTACCACCATGCTCGGCTCATTAAAAAAATTTTTTTTTCCTAGAACAAGGTCTCATTCTGTTGCCAGGGCTGTCTCAAACTCCTCGACTCAAGTGATCCTCTGACCTCAGCCTCCCCAAGTGCTGGAATTACAGGTGTAAAGACACTGTACCTGGCCTCCCAACCCCATATATATATATATATATTTTTTGAGACAGGGTCTCACTATGTCACCCAGGCTGGAGTGCAGTGGCGCGATCTCAGCTCACTGCAACCTCCACCTCCTGGGGTCAAGCGATCCTCCTGCCTCAGCCTCCTGAGTAGCTGGGATTACAGGCACGTGCCACCACGCCTGGCTAAGTTTTGTATTTTTAGTAGAGATTGGGTTTCACTATGTTGACCAGGCTGGTCTCGAACTCCTGACCTCAAGTGATCCACCCACCTCAGCCTCCCAAAGTGCTGTGATTAGAGGCATGAGCCACCACACCTGGGCTAATTTTTGTATTTTTAGAGACTAGGTTTCACTATGTTGTCTAGGCTGGTCTTGAACTCCTGAGCTCAAGCCATCCGCCTGCCTCAGCCTCCCAAAGTTCTGGGATTACAGGCGTGACCCATTGCGCCCTGCCCAATCCCATACTTTTGAAGGTGTCGTTCCAGCATGGCTCCTCAGGCACAGGCCCACCACAGACAGCAGGGCCTATGGAGGCCTGAGCAGAGTTTCCTCATACTTCCCTTTTTGCTGCCTCACTCTGGGTCCACCACAGGGTGGCCTTTTTCAGGCTTCTCTTCCTGGTTCAGTTCATCGACCAAAGACATGGCTCCATTTGCTAACTGAGACCCAACCAAAATAAACATTCATGGAGTGGTTGGGCCTTTTGTTGTGACCCCTTAGGTAGAGGAAGGGAGAGATATGCCCAGGTTCTGTTTGGTGTTTCTACCTGTCAATAGAGATACCACGTTAATCATTAACAGCCATGCCTCCCAGTTAGTAAGCAAGACAACTAACTGGAACTAGACTTTTTACACAAGTTAGAGATGATCTTCATCGGATGCGTCAACAATGCCTGAAGCCCAGTGTCTTAGAAACAACACTTGCCCAGGGTCAGGCGTGGTGGCTCATGCCTGTAATCCCAGCTACTTGGGAGATTAAGGCAGAGAATCACTTGAACCCGGGAGATGGAAGTTGCAGTGAGCCGAGATCGCGCCACTGCACTCCAGCCTGGGTGACAGAGCGAGACTCCATCTCAAAAAAAAAAAAAAAAAAAAGACACTTGCTTGGACAGTTTATGTTGGCCTCTCTGAAGTTGTCAGGGAGAATGTTTCTTTCTTCTGATCTTGCTCAGAGCTCTTTTGCCAACAGCTAGGATGGCCTGGAGTTTTCAAGGCTAAGCGCTGGGATTCTGTTGGTTAACAGTGATGGGAGGGAAAAAGGAAAAGAAATCCAAAATTTACAATATGGACAGGAAAAGGCAGAAAGAATGGAACACGGGGGCACACAGCAGTCTGGCTCTGTCGTCCCACCTCGTGGGCTGCGATCATGATACAAGTGCTTGGCCCCTGGAACATAAGAAGCACTCAATAAATGCTTTGTCATAATGATTATGTGTGCCCAGTGCCTGGTACACAGTAGGTGCTCAATAAATCTTAATTCCCGCAAAGACCAGTCTAACCTTTGTCTGGGGGTGGCTCTTGGGCTGCTGGTGGGGTGGTGGTTAGTCATAGGAAGTACTGGATGAGACAGGAGAGGGCCATGGCCAGGGCCAGATCCCCCTCCCCACCCAACCGCCTCTACTCCCCACTTTTCTCGTCATGTTCGCAAGAGCCTCATGAGGCAGAATAGAGCAGTGTTAACCATCCCCATTTTTCAGAAGGGGAAACTAAGGCCCTGAGAGTCATCCTCACTTAGGGCCCTTCAACGAGCTTGCAGTGGGTCCCTGGCTGTCCCACATCTCCTCCTGTTGGAGGTGGGAGCAGAGGGGCTGGGGTGCTGGGAGTGGGACAGTCCCTCAGAGGAGTGGCTGCATTTGCTCATAGGAAGTCCGAGGCAGCGGGGGCCTTCCAGGCCCAGGACGAGGGACGGTCACAGCAGCCCAGCCAAGGCCAGAGCCAACTTCTCCGAAGACAGTCCAGCCCTGCCCCCAGCAGGCAGGTGAGCACTGCCAGCTGTCTGGGGCCCCGCACCCCAAGGGGCGGCCACTGCCTCTTCCCTCCCGCTAGAAGCCAGGCAGGGGGCTTGGACAGGAAGGTCCTCTATGAAAGGGTCGGAGTCCAATCATGGGGATCCAGCTCTCCCCTCTCCCCAACGGCCAGCAGCTCTTGGCAAAATGCACAAGACCCCACATTAATCCTTTGAAGATAGCCCCTCTCCCACGCTATCCCCTTCCTTTACTAAGCACTGCTGTCTTTTTTTTTTTTTTTTTTTTTTGAGATGGAGTCTTGCACTGTCTCCCAGGCTGGAGTGCAGTGGGACAATATTGGCTCACTGCAACCTCTGCCTCCCAGGTTCAAGTGATTCTTCTACCTCAGCCTCCCAAATAGCTGGGATTACAGGCGTGTGCCACCACACCCAACTAATTTTCGTACTTTTAGTAGAGACAGGGTTTCACCATGTTGGCCAGGCTGGTCACTCCTGACGTCAAGTGATCCGCCCACCTTGGCCTCCCAAGGTGCTGGGATTACAGGCGTGAACCACGGCACCTGGCCAATACTGCTGTCTTGAGCAGATTTCAGGGAAAGCCTTGAAGCAAGAATCTGGCTCTAAGGGCCCTCTCTTTCAGGGTAATTTGTATCTTTAACCAAACCCAGAGGGCTAGGCCCGCCTCAGTGGAATGGGGTATTGGTGGTGGAGGTTCTGGCACCTGATAGCCCAAGTTGGAATCAGTATCTTTGAGAGGGGTGAGAAGCCAAGAACGGGGGCAGGTCTTTGCAGATCTTTTTCTGGAACTGAGGAAAGCGGGTGAAAGGGAGGAGCTGACCCCGGAGGGGTGGGGCAGAGACCCTGTGTACTTTTTGGCCTGCTTTGATTCAGGCTGCTGTGTGGACACAGCCTTGACTCTCTGGGGGCCTAAGAAAGGCAGAGCTGGCAGCCAGGTCCCCAGAGAGAGAGCCTCACCTACCCCCTCACCTCATCCCCAGGTGACCATGCTCCCTGCCAAACAGGCAGAACTGACCCGGCGGAGCCAAGCAGAGCCCCCTCATCCTTGGAGTCCTGAGAAGAGACCTGAGGGAGATCGGCAGCTCCAGGGGTCCCCGCTGCCCCCCAGGACATCAGCCAGGACCCCTGAGAGGGAGCTGCGGACACAGAGACCTCTGGAGAGTGGCCAAGCAGGCCCAAGACAGCCTCTGGGGGTGTGGCAGAGTCAGGAGGAACCGCCAGGGTCCCAGGGCCCTCATAGACACCTAGAAAGGAGCTGGAGCAGCCAGGAGGGAGGCCTGGGCCCTGGGGGCTGGTGGGGATGTGGAGAGCCCAGCCTGGGGGCAGCCAAAGCCCCGGAGGGAGCATGGGGGGGCACTTCCAGGGAGTACAAGGAGAGCTGGGGGCAGCCAGAGGCCTGGGAGGAGAAGCCCACTCATGAGCTCCCCAGAGAACTAGGAAAGAGAAGCCCACTCACGAGCCCCCCTGAGAACTGGGGAGGCCCCGCAGAGTCCTCACAATCCTGGCACTCTGGGACACCCACTGCTGTGGGCTGGGGGGCAGAGGGAGCGTGTCCATACCCGCGTGGCTCTGAGAGGCGACCCGAGCTTGACTGGAGGGATCTGCTTGGCCTTCTCCGGGCACCAGGAGAGGGGGTCTGGGCCCGTGTCCCCAGCCTGGACTGGGAGGGCCTCTTGGAGCTCCTGCAGGCCAGGCTGCCCCGCAAGGACCCAGCTGGACACAGGGATGACCTGGCCAGGGCTTTAGGGCCAGAGCTGGGTCCCCCAGGCACAAACGATGTCCCTGAGCAGGAGTCACACAGCCAGCCAGAAGGCTGGGCCGAGGCCACCCCAGTCAATGGACACAGCCCCGCACTGCAGTCCCAGAGCCCGGTCCAGCTGCCCAGCCCTGCCTGCACCTCCACCCAGTGGCCAAAGATCAAAGTGACAAGAGGACCAGCGACCGCAACTCTGGCAGGCCTGGAGCAGACGGGCCCCCTGGGGAGCAGGAGCACTGCGAAGGGCCCCAGCTTGCCAGAGCTGCAGGTAAGGAGGTTTCCACCCTCCCAAGGGTAGCCAGAAAGTCAGCCCCACTCAGCCAAGTCTCCTTGGAAAAGCCTCCCCTTGGAGTAGCCTAAGCTCCTGCATCCCCCTCCAGGCTCAGACCTCAGCCTCCCTGCTGACCACAACCCATCCCGATCACCAAACTGGCCCAACAATGATGATGAGCAACACAGTTTTAAGCGTTTATGGGCCAAGCCCTGATCTGAATGTTTGACGTGTGCTTTTCCCATTTAGTCTCCTTAGCAACCAGGTGAGAAATACACTATTTACAGATAAGGAAACTGATGCGCAGGGTGAAGCCACTTGCTGGTGGGGCATGGGCAAAACCCAGGTCTGCTCAGTGCAGACCACACTGAGGCCTCAAGCAAGATGCTCTGGCCAGGGCCTATTCCCCTCCTGGCTCCACCATACCTGGTTTATGTTGTGTCTGGTGGCACACACCTGACCCCACCTGGGACTGTAGCCAGTGTGGGCATGCCCCTTCCCCTGGTGGTACTCAGGTACCTGAGTCCAGGACAGCCTCGCTTACCCTCTCTGGCCCCTACAGCTCCTCTCAGACACAGAGAAGAGGGTGCATCAATGCTCACTGGGTTCAGCTAGCTGCCAAGACAGGCTGCTTAAATGAGGGTCGTGTGCAAAGTGGGCCCAGCGCCGGGCACACAGTAGGTGCTCGCCCTTCCCCTGCTTCACTGGTGCTTTGGTGCTGCCTTGAAGCCCAGAACATTCTTCATCTGAAGATGGTGGGCAGGGAGGGTCTTGGAGGCCAGAATCCTGCACCCTGGCAATAGCTCATTGGGAGGACGGCATGTGGTTTTGAACACCAGCCTCTCTCTCTCTCTGTAAGATGGACCAACCACTTCTCTGACGGGCAGCGCTGGGGTGCCGTGGGGGTTCCTGCTTGTTTCTCCAAAGCCTCCTCATCTCCTAGATGCAAAGTCCAACGCCACCTGCCCCAGGATGAGCAGGGCTTCCAGGCATCAGGGTGCACCCCGTGCTGGGCCCAGGGCCTTGCCATATGTGCCTCAAGTGGATAGGAGGCAGCTGCCACTTGACAGATGGGGAAACTGAGGCTCAGACTCCTTAGGCATTTGCTGGGGGTCACACATGCATAGGTCGTGAGAAATGAGATCAAAGCATCCACTCCAAAGTTTGTGCTTTTATTTTTATTTATTTATTTACTTATTGAGACGGAGTTTCGCTCTTGTTGCCCAGACTGGAGTGCAATTGCACAATCTCAGCTCACTGCAACCTCCGCCCCCCAGGTTCAAGCTATTCTCCTGCCTCAGCCTCCCGAGTAGCTGGGATTACAGGCATGTGCCACCATGCCCGGCTAATTTTGTGTTTTTAGTAGAGATGGGGTTTCTCCATGTTGGTCAGGCTGGTCTTGGACTCCTGACTTCAGGTGATGCATCCACCTTGGCCTCCCAAAGTGCCGGGATTACAGGTGCGAGCCACCATGCCCGGCCTAAGTCTGTGCTTTTAGCCACCACGTCACAAAGCTCCTGAGCCCATGGGAGGACTGGAGAACCCTCTCCCCTGTATTTCCCTGTGGCTTTGATGAGTTGACCCTCCAATCAACTCAATGCGTGGACATCAGAGAAGCAGGGATAAGTCAGCTCGTCCTGCCCTCAGATTGCTGTCAGGCTTGTTAGGAAGGCACACAGACAGCTCAAGGAGGACACGGTGCTGTGTCCCGGGGCATGCTGGGTGCCACAGGCCGGCCAGGTCAAGAAGGAAGTTAGAAAGATTCTTCAGTTTCATGGTGAAGCTCAGGGTTCTCAGGAGGCTAGGAGATGGTGGCTGGGAAGGGATGGGAGCACCATGTACTGAAAGGAATTTCACAGATGACAAAACGAGTAACCACCAGGTCCTGCTGGGGCTCCAGCTGCTCCTCTCTATGAAAATCCTTGGCTTGGCACAGCTGGGTGCAGTGGCTCACATCTGTAATCCCAGCACTTTGGGAGGCTGAGGCAGGCAAATCACGAGCTCAGGAGATCGACACCAGCCTGGCTAACACGGTGGAACCCCGTCTCTACTAAAAATACAAAAAATTAGCCGGGCGTGGTGGCGGGTGCCTGTAGTCCCAGCTACTTGGGAGGCTAAGACAGGAGAATGGTGTGAACCCGGGAGGTGGAAGTTGCAGTGAGCCGAGATCACGCCACTGCACTCCAGCCTGGGTGACAGAGCGAGACTCCATCTCAAAAAAAAAAAAAAAAAAAATCCTTGGCATGGCACTCAAGGCCGGCTTCCCTTCCTTCCACTCCGGATTTGCCTCATTGGTGCTGAGCTGGCTGCAGGGCCTGTGAGCACATATCCCTGCCTTTGCACATGCTCTTCCCTGTTCAGCCACCAAACGCCTGTTCATTGTCGAAGTCTTAGGTCAGGCTCCCTGTCCTGAGAAGCCTTCCCTGAACAGTCACTCCTAGTAATGGTCCCCTTCTGGGCTTGGCAGTTTTGCTTCCATTTGTCCATGCAACATCCATCTAATAGGGTTGTCATTTCCCCATAAGCTCCACACAGGCAGGATCTCTACCTGCTTTATCTCTGTAACTCTAGCTCTGGCCCAGGGCCTGACATAAAGGAGGGGACAGCTCAGTGGATGCATGCAAGATGGAGGACACAGGGGTCAGTGGGTGAACAATGAATGAATGGAGGGTGAATGTGTGAATGGATGATGGATCAATGATGCATGTTGAATGAATAATAGACATCTTTTGGATGGATGACAGATGGGTGATGATGGATGGATAGCTGGGTGATGAATATATGGTGGTGGTGGATATATGATGGATGTTGCTTAGGTGATGGATGGATGAACTTTGGGTGGAATATGAATGGATAGATGTGGCATGGGTGGATGAATGTCAGATGATAGATGTTGGAGATATGGGTAGATGGATGATGGATGGAGAGAGGGATATGTAGGTATTGGGTAAATGGATATGTGATGGATCAATGGAGGGTAGATACATGAATGGGTGATAGACAATGGATGATGGGTACATGAGAGGGTGAGTCATGTGATAGACACTGGATGGTTGGATGGATACATGGATCTACTGATGCTGGACGTTAGATGGGTGTTGCATGGACAGATGATAGAATGGATGGATGAGGTGGACAGATGCATGCATCCTGGAGAATAAGTTGGGCTAAGCTGTGTTCTTTTTTTAATCTCCAGTTCCAACCAGAGGAGCCTGAGGAGTCAGAACCAAGCAGAGGCCAAGACCCCCTGACTGACCAGAAGCAGGCAGACTCGGTAGCTGGGTCATGGGTGTGGGTACATACGGTGGGGAAGGGAGGGGGAAGCAGGTTGGAGATGGGCTTCATTCCTCAGAAGAGCCCTAGAATCAACCAGACCAAAGTTGGCATTGCCATGGGGTCATCTATGTGCATGGTGGGGCCTTAAGAAGAGGGGCTCTGCAGGAGCCACCTTCTGGCTTGGGGACCTGGGTAGGTGGGCGATCCTGGGGTCAGAACCCTAGGCCATGCTTCTCATTTGCTGGGACTGAAAAGGTCAATGTCTTTCCCTGCGCAAATGATGGTTTGGCCCCAGTGGTCTCTGTGGGAAGAGATCCTTCCGGTTTGAAAGGGCCAGGCCAGGCTGAAAGAGCAGGGCTTCCACGAGCAGGAGCCAGAGAGCTGAGGATGTACCCAGTCAGCCAGGCCTGGAGGGTCTCCAGGGTCCTGGAGGCGGGAGAGATATGTGCGGGGGTGGGACCCACGGATGCTGCTCTGAGGCCTGGCTGCAGCTGGTGAGCACAACTCTGCCCGCCCCTCCCCGTGACCTACCAAACAGACTGTTCTCGTCACCCTCAGCCTCCAGAGAGGTGAGATCAGAGTTGAGGGCCGTGGGGCAGTGGGAGGTGGGGGAGGAGGAGACAGACTGTTTGGGGCTGTGTTTTCCGGTCCTGCTCTTCCTCCCGTTGCCTCCTGAAGCCAGGGGTGGCAGGGAGCGTCCATTGGGCAGCATAGCGCCCCCCAAGTAGGGCCCTGCCGTGAGTCAAAGCTGGGGGAATTCTGCCCAAACCCTCACTGTGCAGATGAGGAAATGGAGGCAGGGGAGTCGTCCCAGGTTATACAGTCAGTGGCTAGCTGGACTGGGACTAGAACCCAGGGCCCAGGAACCACCCAGCGCTCTCTCTGCACCTCCACCTGGCACCCATGCTGCCCCCGTCCCTGCCCCGATTTCTTGCGTGGCTTCGAACGGCAGTGCTGTAACTTCGAGCAGTCCAGTCTTCCCATCTGTGGAATGGGCGGGGACAGGGGACACTGGTCGCTAAAGGCGCTGCCAGCCCTCCCAGGGACTCTGACAACTTTGCTCTTCCTCTTTCTGGGTTATTTCTTCATATCCTGGAGCCAGAGTAGTGAACGAGGCGGAAACAGCAATGCCGGGGTGCCCCTCTAGTCTCCATGAAACGGGCCCGGCCCATCAACGTGGAAAATATCTCAACCTACCCCCACCCCTAGGCAGCCTTGACTGGTCAGAACTGATAACCACCTCATTCATGCATTCTTTCACACACACTTAGTGAGCACCTTCTGTATACCCAGGTGTGGGTCACAGGTGAGTCGGAGCGCCATCAAAGAGTTCAGTCTAGTGAGATGGTTGCATGCCTGTGGTCAGGACTGTGATGGGGAATGTGGTAGCAGGGTCGGGGGCACCCCTACCCCCAAAGCCCTCCTGGACCTGTGCTTTGATGCTTCAAGTTCCACTTCCAAAGAGTCTGCAGATTCCAGAGCGAGGACCCTGGGCTCTCTCCTACCTTCCCAGTAACCCATGTGTGGCTTTGGACAAGTGCCTCTGCTTCACAGGGGCCTTGGTTTCCCCAACGAGGATGACTCCAAAGAGGGAGCATTTGGGGGCTCTGCTAGGAATGTGTGTAGAAGTCCACAACTCATTCCCTTTGCTTAAGCTGGGGTCACAAACCTAACGCCCTGAAGGCCAGGCAGGTAACAATGGTGAGAAGGTGGGGGGGCACCGAGGGCACTTGTGTGACTCCTCGGTTCCAGATAGCTGTTGCCATGGGGAAGACGGGCCCAGAGTTTCCACATCTTTCGATATTTCAAGAAACACTGGAGATATGTATTTATATGTGAAATCTCTAACCTAATGTGAAATACTCTGAAAACACTATGTGGGCAGAAACATACCTGTGGTCTGCACCCCCTCCAGCTGGCGCCCGTGGTTTGACTTTAGGGTGATGACGTGCACACCTTCAAAGGTGCTGAGCCCTGGGAGCCTTGTCAGTCCAACACGATGTAGTGTGAACAAGTTAACCAGCTCGTCTCGGCAGTTCTGGGAGGAGAGAAAGATGGGAACCCTGGGGCTCCATGGTGGGGGGCACCACAGAATGGGCAGGGGAGGCTGTAGCCAGGGGTGCCCCCATCCTGCCAAAGGGACCTGGGGCCAACACTGGACCCTGTTTGACAGGCAGACAAGAGGCCAGCAGAGGGCAAGGCTGGGAGCCCGCTCAAGGGCCGACTGGTGACCTCATGGCGGATGCCCGGGGACCGGCCCACGCTGTTCAATCCGTTCCTGCTGTCTCTGGGGGTCCTCAGGTGGCGAAGGGTAGGCTGGCTCCAGTGGGGACTGGAGGGGTGAGGGTGGATAGAGACGGGGATGGGAGGGAGGAGGGGGCTGTTAAGCAAAGGAGAGAGAGTGGGGGCTGAGGAGGAGGCACCTAGGGCCGTCGCATGACAGGAGAGGTGGGAGCAGAGCTCTTAAGCTCATCCTGGTCTCAGCAAGCGAGTGGGTTTCCCACTTCCGGGGCAGGCTTGGGGGCTGCTTTCAGCTTTTGGAGTGAGGGGTGATGGAATAATCTACACAGCTGAAAGCTTCCAATCAGCAGCCTCTCGCCAGCCCTGGGCCAACGGGGAGCCAGGTATGGGGGAAGGGAAGGCGAGCTTATAAGTGGCTCTGGGATTGCAAAGTGTGTCTCAGACCTGGGCCTGAGCCAGTTTCACAAACATCTGGCGTTACGTAACCCATCCCCTGCCCAGAGAGGCCTGGAAACACTCAAGCCTCTGGCTGGGTTTTCCACAAGGGCAGGCAGCTGAGACCCGCTCCCTCCCACCCGCTTCACAGCAGGACAGAAGGGGCCTGGCCATCTCCAGCAGCCACAGGCTGGCTCATGGGGTCTCTTCTCTCTTTGAGAGGCTGACTCTCTTACTCACCGCTGTTGGCTCTGAGTCCAGCACTAGGCTGGGCACCTCAGAGACAGTGTGCCCATTTTACAGATGAAGGGACTGAGGCCCAGGGAGGTGAGCTGACTTGCCTGAGGTCGCACAGCTTGGGGTATAAAGGAGCTGATTTTCCTCATTCTCAGATGAGAGAAGGGTTGTAGCCAAACTTACTGAGCCTCGGTTGCCACATCTGTCTATTAGGAAAAAGTCTGTGGAGACTCAGGGCTGCAGAGAGGGCTCAGGGAGATCAGGATGCATGGAGGTTGCGGGGCTGTTGTCGAAACACTAACTTTCCCATCCACTTCAGAATTTCCTTTTTTTAAAAAATTAAGACGGAGTCTCGCTCTATCGCCCAGGCTGGAGTGCAGTGGCACCATCTCTACTCACTGCAACCTCTGCCTCCCGGGTCCAAGTGATTCTCCTGCCTCAGCCTCCAGAGTAGCTGGAATTATAGGCGTGCGCCACTGCACCCGGCTAATTTTTTGTATTTTTAGTACAGACAGGGTTTCACCATGTTGGCCAGGCTGGTCTTGAACTCCCGACCTCAGGTAATCCGCCCACCTTGACCTCCAAAGTGCTAGGATTATTGGTGTGAGCCACCACGCCAGGCGTTTTTTTTTTTTTTTTTTTAAATTAAGATAGAGTCTCGTTCTACCCCCAGACTGGAGTGCAGTGGCACCATCTCGGCTCACTGCAACCTCTGCCTCCCAGGTTCAAGCGATTCTGCCATCTCAGCCTCCCGAGTATGTGGTACTACAGGCGTGTGCCACCACACCTGGCTAATTTTTATATTTTTAGTAGAGATGGGGTTTCACCACGTTGGCCAGGCTGGTTTCCAACTCCTGACTTCAAGTGATCCGCCCGCCCTGGCCTCCCAAAGTGCTGGGATTACAGGCGTGAGTCACCCAGCTGAGCCCAGAATTTCCTTTCGCTGCTCTTTGTGGTTAAGGCACCGAGGGTGAGCAGGCAAGCATGGTTATCTGAGTAGTGTGGTACCTTTAAGCCATGGGCAGGAATTACCTTGTCTAACTAAAGGTCACCAACACACAGCACGTCTGGCAGGAGGGGGCAGGTAAGTCCTTGGTAGAGCGAAGGAGGAGCGAAGCAGGGAAAGCACTCTGGGGTAATGATGCTGGCTAACCAGCACTTATTGTATGCCTACTACATGCCCAGCTCTGTGTTCACTGCATGGCGCCACCTAATTGCATTTGATCCACACTCCCAGGTGCAGTTAGACGCCTACTGTCCATTTTACAGATGATGAAGTGAAGCTCAGAGAGGGAGGGTCACTTGCTCCAGGTCACACAGGGAGCAAGGGGCAGAACTGAGATTCAGACCCTGCTCTGGCTGACCTCAGAGCCCAGTGCTTCCAACACGCCCCCTACACCACTGCCTTCACATCCTGATCTCTCTGAGCCCTCCTGCAGCTCTGGGAGTCCCCACAGATTTTCCCCATTAGAAAGATGCGGCAACCGAGGCTTGGTGAGGTTGGCTACAGTGGTTCTCTCATGTGGGAGTGAGGGAAATGAAGAGCTAGGGATGGAACTGCCAGCAGGGCCTCCCAGTTACACAGAGCAGATTTAAACTTCTCTTGGGCTGAAGCAGTGAAATTAGCCCAAGGCCAAGAGCCAGAAAGCCTGGAGTCGAGTTCTGGCTTGGCACCTAACTTGTGTGCCCTTCTCTGAGCCTTACCTTATTATTCTCAGTAGAGTAACGGTTTGAGACTGGATAACCTCGAAGTTTGGTAGCTCTGGTCTTTGCCAGTTTAATAACTCACCCCTGGGTCCCTGAGGCTGTGCTGTCTCTGACCTGCCAGGATGAGTTGTGGTTTCTTCATTGGTGCATTCATTCATTCGAGCCGTGCTTACGGAGGATGTGCTGTGGGCTTAGGCCCTAGGCTGGTTTCCAAGATGTAGACAAAAAACATTCCAGCCCTGGCCACTGGAGCCCAGTTAGGTAAGGACACTGACATGTAACTGATGAGAACAGTGTGGTCACCACTTTAGTGGGGAAAGGTACAGATGTAGGGAGCACTGGGCCAGCAGTTCCTAAGTCTGCTGGGGACACTTTGGCTTCCTTTGGTCTGAGACTTCAAGGAAGAAATTTTCCAGGCCAACAAGCATTGGGAGGGGGAAGGGGAGAAAGAGAGAGAGAATGTGTGTGTGTGTGTGTGTGTGTGTGTGTGTGTGTGTGTGTGTGCTGGGTGTGTGTGAGTGTGTGCTGGGTGTGTGTGTGTGTGTGTGCTGGGGTACAGAAGACAGGAAGAGAAGTGTTCCAGGCACAGCAGAGAACCATCAGGGGGTAGAAGGACCTGTCTTATCCTGGGAATTCCTAGTAGTCCAGTGCTGTGTATCTTTTTTTTTTTTTTTTTTTCTGAGATGGAGTCTCGCTCTGTTGCCTAGGCTGGAGTGGAATGCAGTGGTGTGATCTTCACTCACCGCAACCTACGCCTCCCAGGTTCCAGCGATTCTCCTGCCTCAGCCTCCCAAGTAGCTGGGATCACAGCCATGTGCCACCACGCCCGGCTAATTTTTTGTATTTTTACCAGAGACGGGGTTTCACCATGTTGGCCAGCCTAGTCTCGAACTCCTGACCTCAGGTGATCCACCCGCCTCGGCCTCCTAAAGTGCTGAGATTACAGGCATAAACCACCGCGCCCAGCCTCCAGTGCTGTGCATCTCTTTATTTACTTATTGTATTTTGCAAAATTGACCAAAGTATGTGTCTCTCCAGCCTGTCAAATGAGAATCTGGAAGGCCAGGATGACAGGCAGGAGCCAGGTTGTGATGGTTCCTGACTGCCTAGAAGAGGAATGTAGCACTGATCTGTCAGCATTGGTGATGTGTGGAAGAACTTTGAGCAGGGAAGTGGTCTGGTCACTGTGTTGCGGGTACTAGGAGGAGTCGCAGGGGCCAGAAAAGCCTGGAGGAGGCTGGTGCTGTTAGGTGCCCAGGGCACTGGACCAGGACCCTGGTGGTAGGTGAGGTCTCCTGCGTGTTCATTCACTCTCCCAAGGACTGACTGCCTGAGTGAGGTGCAAGGGTAGGGTGAGAAAACTCAGCCCGGGGTGCCAGAAGGCCAGTTTCTAGAGTTAGATGGACTTAACCTTGGCCTCATTCCTCATGGTGGAGAGACTCCTGGCAGCAAATGCTGGGAAAGAACTTCAGCTCCCTGGGCCTCCATTTCTTTATCTGCAAAATGGGAACAGTAATTATAAAAGCAATAATTTTTTTTTTTGAGAGGGAGTCTCGCTCCGTCTCCCAAGGTGGAGTGCAGTGGCACAATCTCTGCTCACTGTAACCTCTGCCTCCCGGGTTCAAGCGATTCTCCTGCCTCAGCCTTTTACATAGCTGGATTACAGGCGCCTGACACCACGCCCGGCTAATTTTTGTATTTTTAGTAGAGACGGGGTTTCACCATGTTGGCCAGTCTGCTCTTGAACTCCTGATCTCAATGATCCACCCACCTCAGCCTCCCAAAGTGTTGGGATTACAGACCTGAACCACCGCGCCCGGCAAGGGCAATAATTTTTGAACCCCAAATCAAGATGACAGAATAATTGAAATGCCAATTATTCCAAGCTTCCCTGCCTCCTTGCCTAAGGATAGCTAATGAGGGATAAAGAGGTTGTCCTAGGTGCCTTACTTGAATTAACACTTAATCCTTCCAGCAACCTCATGAGGTAACAGCATTACCCCATTTTACAGAGAGTGAAATTGAGCACCGAGAGGTGCCTTGCTTAAGGTAACACTAGGCTGGAATCCCCGTGCCACACGAACTTCCTAGTGCATTTAGCAACCAATTCCACCACGGTCCCTACTCACCTGCAGGAAAAGAGCATCTAACAAACGGCCCAGCGTTCTGGGAACCTGAGCAACGGGTGCACGCCCACACCTGAAAAACCCCAAACCAAAAAAGACCCATTTGTGAGGAGTGGGCATTTGGGAGAGACCCTGCCATCCAAGAACTCACTTTGTGTCCAGCTTACTCGCTAGGAATTCCGCCTCTTCCTGTGTGACCTCGGGCAAATCGGCTCACCCCTCTGAGCCTCCGTTTTCTCATTAGCAAAATAAGACCTCCCTCCCAAGTCTGTGGTGAGGACGAAAATCGACTCTTGGCGAGTGGGACCCGCTGAGTCGTTAGTACTGGGTGCTTTGCCCCGGTCCCCGCCAAATCACGGCGCCGAGCCCTAGCGGACCCATCGCTCCGGGGCCGGGTCGGGAAGCGCAGCCTGGGCGAGTCGTGCCCACGCCCGGCCGCCCGCATCCTCCGCCCCCGCGCCATTGCCGGAGTCACCTGCACCCTGGGCCCTTCCTTCCTCCCAGCGCGCCCGCGGCCCGGGCCCGCCCGCCCTCCGGCCGCCACCGCCCTCCCTTCCCTGCGGCCCCATCCGCCCACCCCGCCGTCCCGCCGTCCCGCCGCCCCGCCGCCCTAGCGCGCCCGTCCCGTTGCGGCAGGTCCCGCCCCCGGCCCGTCTCGCGCTTCCATTGGCCCGCCGCGGCCCCCGCCGCTGTTTGTCTCGGCTTCCCCGCCACCCATTGGCCCGCTCGGGTCCTCCCAGGAAGTTTGAAAAAAAAAAAAAAAAAGTTTTATGGGCGGATGGAAGGGGCCGGGGCAGCGTCGGGGAAAGGAAGGGCCGGAGGCGCGGCGGCGGGCGGCCGAGAGGGGCGGCGGCGGCGGCGGCGGCGGGGTTCCCGCGCCGCGGAGCCCGGCCCGAGAGCCGCGTCCACGTTCCTGCCTCCTGCTCCCGCCGCCCTGGGGCGCCGCCATGACGGTGAGTGCCCCAGTCAGCCGCCCGCGCCCGAGGCCGGGAGAAGGGCGACGACCCGAGGCAGAGCCCAGCCTCTCCCCTCCGGGGCAGCCCCCTCCTCATTTCCCGAAGGCGAGAGGAGGGCTGGGCCGGAAGACGGGGCCACCTCCGAAGCGCTTTCGGCCAGACCGGCCTCACCCTTCCCGCAGGCTCCTCCTCGCCTTCCCTCGCCCACTCGCCCCCGGGAGCCCAGGCGACCCTGAGGGGACGGAACGACCCGTCTCGGGCGCCCCCTCCTCACACTTGCGGCACCAGTCACGGGTGGATTCGGGGCGACCCTTTCCCACCTCCCCTCCAGCCCCCTAGACGAAGACCCGATTCCCCAAGGCGGCCAGGGGCCCCAGGGAGGAGCGGAGGTGGGCCTGGGCTGGGGAGGGGCGCTCGTGGGTGCGGATGGGTCGCGCTGACCCGGGCCTGGGCAAGCCAGCCCTCCGTGTGGCCGCTGGCCCGAGGTCGGGTGGGCGAGAAGTGGCCGGACCGCCCCACCCACAGCCCGGGAGGCAGTCCCGGGACGTCTGAAGCAGCGGGATACCACGTCTTCCTGGGCTTGCACTTTGCAGCGGTCCTGGGGCCTTGGGACAAGCCTGCGAGTCTGAGTAGGGGGCATGATGGCAGGGGTTTGCCTTTCTCATGGGGGTGAGCTGTACCCAAGCCCCATCAATTACCTGTGCCATAGTTAGCATATTGAGCCTCACAGCTGGGTTCGCTGGACTCCCCACTTCACAGCCAGATAAACTGAGGCTTGGGGAGGGGCGCTGGTGAGTTGCCCGAGGTCACCCCAAGTATAAGAGAAGGAGTAGCTCCTTTCCCTGTCCTTCTGGCCCACTGACCGTGATGTTCGGGAAGGGAGGGGTGGGGCTGCTTTTGGTTTCTGGCTAGTGCTTCAGGGAGGCTCTGACAGCCCAGTGGCCCTCCTGGGGGAGGATGAGCAGGGTGTGTGTGTGCACAGGCGGCAGTAGGCCTCTTTCAGGGGAGTGGAGACCCTGCGGAGGAGTGGGTGGGCTGCTGGGGGCGGGCTGGGCTGCTGGGGGGCGTGGCACGCCTAGCCCCTGCCCTGTGAGTGTGATGGCCTGGACTTCCTCGGCGTCCTCCTGGACATCCTGCCACCTCCCTGCTGGCCCTTCCTGTCGTCAGCAGCCTCCCCTTTTCTGTCAGGAGCAGAAGGGATGTGGGGGGAGGAGCTGAGTCAGTGTCCTGGGGCCAGGAGGAGAGAAGTTGCCTTGCCCACCGGGTGCCTGCCCGGCCCTCAGCCGGGTGCTTTCACGTTACCAGATTTGATCCTTGAAGGTTGGTAGTAACATCTTAATCAAACAGATGAGGAAACCAAGGTGTGGCGAGGTGAAGTGTCATGCCCCAGGTAACTCAGTGAGTCCCAGGCTAAGCCAGAATTTGTATCCAGGTCCGTTCCAGCTTTCTTTCACAGTTGCCTGTCCTGGGGGCAGCACGTGCTGAGCAAGGGTAAGGCTGCCGGAAGCAGCGTGTGGGGTGCTTGGAAGATGGACAGCACATCCCTGCTGGTGGCAGCAGCCTTCCTGAGGGAGGTGTCCTCCTGTGATTATAGGGCCTTGTCAGGTGGAGATGGACTAGCGAGGAGACAGCAGTGTGGACAGAAACGGGTGGTCATGTTTGAGAAGTAGCAAGAGCGTAGGGAAGGGGTCTGGGGAGGAGGGCCTCACTGCTAGGGCTTGGACAGGGGCAATAGAGAGCCATGAAAGCTTTTAGAGCAGAGAGGAGGCTATGATCACCATTAATAGTGTTCATTGAGTTCATCCTGGCTGCCATGCAGACCTCAGCCTGCTCTCAGCTGGTGCTCCTCCTGTACCCACCTCACACCCTCCTCCCCTGGCCCCCGTGCCCTGAATCAGGGATCCATACAGAGCAAGTGGCACAGGTGTGTGAGTGTGTGAGGCTCCGGGGCTTCAGGGAGTTGGGATTCTCTTCCACCCCTTTTGCCTTTGCCTGGGTGCAGCTTTGCTCCCGGATCAGCCTTCCCCCTCGCCTGCTGGGCATCAAATTATATTTGGTCCCTTGTTTACTGTCTCTTTCCTACAGTCCACCAGGGCAGGGGCCACAGCTCTTGGTCACAGCTAATTTCCTGGCCTAGAACAGTGCCTGATAACTTTAAAAAAAAATTTTTTTTTCTGCAAACACTCCCTGAGCCCCTATCTGTGCTGGGTCCTGGCAGGTAAACAGTGTATGTCCCTGACTGTGAGTTGCATCTAATCTAGCCTGTGAAGGATAAGTAAAGGGCCTCAAGATAGTCACGGATGCAACAGAGGCCTCTGAGAGGGGCCATGGGAGGGCAGGACGGGGGCGGCTGGTGGTGCGGTGAGTGGCATGAACTGTGAAGGGACCTCAGAGGTGGCCATTAAGCTGGGTCTTAAGGCCTGAGTAGCCGCTTGCCTAGTCATCGGAGGAGGAGGAAGCATAGTGTTTCAGGCCAAGGACATGGCACATATGAAGGGCCCGGAGTCCTGGTGTGTTGTGATCGGCAAGGAATATGCAGTGGTATAAACAGGGGCCCCTCAGCAAGGGGAGGCCAGGCTGGAAGAGTGTGATGAGGCTTCCCTGCCATCCTGAGGCAGCTGGACTTTGTTTTAAAGCCACCTGGAGACCGGGTGTAGTGGCTTATGTGTGCCTGTAATCCCAGCATTTTGGGAGGCTGAGGTGGATGGATCACTTGAGGTCAGGAGTTCGAGACCAGCCTGGCCAGCATGGTGAAATCCCATCTCTACTAAAAATAAAAAAATTTGCTGGACATGGTGGTGGGTGCTTGTAATCTCAGGTATTTGGGAGGCTGAGGCAGGAGAAACGCTTCAACCCGGGAGGTGGAGGTTGCAGTAAGCCGAGATGGCGCCATTGCACTCCAGCCTGGGCAGCAGAGACTCTGTCTCAAAAATAAAGCAAGCCACCTGGAGCCGTCCCTGGAACTGTTAAGCAAGCCTGGGATACCAAGCCTTTTTGAGTGAGTCCCGCCAGCCCGAGGGTGTGTAGAGGGGTTGTGTGCCTGGCCAGGTAGGAGGCGGGGCTGTGAGAACCTGCCAGTACTCCCGAAAGGCGGAAGGAGAAACTGAGCTTCTAGCAGGTGAAGAAGAGGTAGCTGGGCCTGAAGAGCCCTGTATGAAGGGGCATCGTGGGAGATTTAGATGATCGGACCTTTTGACCCTGGGGACAGGTTTCCCTGCCAGTTTAAAAACTCACATTGGTTGGCCGGGCACATTGGCTCACACCTATAATCCCAGCATTTTTGGAGGCCGAGGTGAGCGGATCACTTGAGCTCAGGAGTTTGAAACCAACCTGGGAAACATAGGGAGACCCCATCTCTACAAAAAAAAAAAAAAAAAAAAAATTAGCTGAGCATGGTGGAGTGCTTATGTCGTCCCGGCTACTTGGAAGCTGAGGTGGAAGGATCGCTTGAGCCCAGGAGGTTGAGTCAGCAGTAAGCTGTGATCACACCACCACACTCCAGTCTGGGCAGCAGAGCAGGGCCCTGTCTCAACAAAACAAAACTCAAATTGGTGACCTTCTATCCCCAAGGTCACTGTGTCATGGCGTGCCTGACATGGTATGTGATGTGTCTGTACTGGGCTCTGGAGGATCACTAGGTTTCTCCTTGTACAGACACGTTCAGTCCTGTCGGAAGCTGCGGGAGGGGAGGACCGCCCCGTCATTTGCCACATCAGGCAGCCAGGACTCAGAGAGGGGATGTGACTTAGGAAGGTCACAGTGACTCCACTTCCCAGGCAGCCCTAGAGGTTCCAGCCTGACAGCTTGTCATTCCTGCCCCAATCTCCCAGCCCTGGCCCAGGGACTTTCGCCTGGGACTGCCCAGTGGTGCCAGCTCTGTGGGCCCAGGAAGCCTGGCTCCTCCGGGCTAGGTGGGGGTAGGGGAGATGGCCCAAAAAGCACAGAAATTTAGACCAGGGGGTAGATATTTCCTCAGCAAGTTTTTCCTGAGCCTTGCTGTGGTCAAGCCCCCTGCAAGGCCCTGGGGCCACAGGAGGTCCCAGACTGAGGGGAAGTGGAGCCAGGTGTGGTCACCAATCTTCATTCTTAGCTTGGGATCGCCCTGGGCAGCCTCCGTCTCAGGTGGAAGACGGGGTGGGCAGAATACAGAGCAGCGGGACAAACGCAGCCCCAGGGGTTCTCGGCCGTGAGCAGAGCCTGTGTCTCTCCCTTAGACAGGTATACAGGGAGGGGCTGGGATGCCAACCTACTGGGTCCCCCGACTGTGGCTGTGGAAGGTTCTGGATCTTCAGCTGTCCCAAGCCCCGGTTGGTCCACTTCCTATACCTGAGAAGGGGCTCCGTGGGTGGAGAGTGGGTCGGGAGAGGTGGCCAGGCAGGGTGGCTGTGGTTTCCAGCTGCCACTGTCACCGCCCACTCCACTGAGCCATGCCACCCGTTCTCTGCAGGCAACCAGACACCTTGGCCTGGTGAGGCCTCGATGTAGGGGCTGATAGGTAGGCTCAGAGCCATGGCAACCGGTGGCCACCTCCTCCCTGCCGGCGCCAGGAGCGGAGACTGCAGAGGGACCGGGACTTAGATGAGAGAGGTCTCCCCAGCAGGAAGGGAGGGTCTGGTGGTTGGCACCCACTAGATGAGCATGGTCAGAAAAATATCAGGATGAGCAACTTCTTTATCTAGGCCTGGGTGGGGGTGCCTGGCACAGGTCTCCATGGGACATGCTGCAGCTGGTAGCCCCCAGACCCCGGGGCTGTGCCCCCCTGGGCGGCACCCAGAAGGTAGGGCTTGCCAGGACTGACCCTTCCCAAAGAGATCTAGGCGGGGACCAGAGGGTTTCTGACCCCAGCCTGTGACTGGCTCCACCTCCCATAGTCTCCTGGAGCCGAGGAAAGGACAGGACTGGCGGGCCCATGGGAGGGTCCGTGGGGCACTTGGTCCTCGTCAGAGGGAGGAACTGGACAGTTCGCGCAGTGCTGCTGGTCTGGACTGCCCTCTGAGCTCTCAGGGGGTCTCTATGCAGGCAGAGTCCTCCCAGCCCCTCTCTCCCATTCTTGGGCGAGGGGTCGGCTGGAGAGAGGCCCCTGGGACATCTGGGTGTGTGTGCCAGCCACCCAGCCCAACTTCTTGGCTCTCTGAGTGCCACTATCAGGAAAGGGGCCAGGGCTGCCTCAGTGGCTGGGAGGCCTGCTTGGACTTGGGGGTTACCTAGGGCCTTAGCCCTCTTGGCTGGCTTCCCAGGAGCTCGGTCCCACAGGACTTGGGGACAGGGTGGGTGCAGCACGCTCCCCTCACCAGCCCCCATTGGCTTCCTGCTGGACCCAACTCACCTCCCTCCTCATCTCCCCACAGCCCGATCTGCTCAACTTCAAGAAGGGATGGATGTCGATCTTGGACGAGCCTGGAGAGGTAAGAGGACTGAGGCCGGAGGGGAGGAAGCTGGCTTGTGCTGCTGCTGGGCCCCTGGGCAGCCCAGGAGTGGGGGTGGGGCTGGGGCTGGTGTGAGAACCCTGGGGGTGGGGCTGGGAGGGGTGGAGGCTGCCCATTAGGCTTCTGCCTCCTGGAGCAGTCTGCAGTGTGTAAAAGGGATCACAGCAAGGGGCCGTCTAGCCCCTCACACCCAGTGCCCCATCCCTTGATCTCATCAAGAGTCTCTTGGCCCTGCCACCTCAGTAGGAGCCTGGGTGGGAGTCAAGGGTCTTGGGTGGAAGGGCTCGTAGAAGCTGTCTGGCCCGAGACACAGATTCCTAAAGCCTGGTCTGAGGGGGGTGGGGCTCAGGGCGCAGGTGCTGGGGTTTCACCCACCTGGATCCCCACTGGTTGAGTCAAAGCCTCCTCTAGTCCTCAGTGGCCACGTCTGTGACATGGGCATAATGGATAATGGTGATTCTTTCTAGAGTGGATAACAAGGTCAGAGAGATCAAGCACGTACAGGTGCCACAAAGCTCCTGGCACTTACTGTGGGCTCAGCTAAAGACCCTTCCCTTCCTCTGGCATATGTGTCCTTGGAACCAGCAGGGACAGTGGCTGTTTCCTCAGCTCTGTTCTTTCGGCTGCCAGGCTGGCTCCCTGCCCACACTGCCTGGGCAGGAGCGTCTCCCCACCCCTGCCCTGCATGCGCCTGCTGCTCTGGTCTGCGTGCAGCCTGCATGCCGGAGAGGGCTTTGAGCCAGAGGGGATTTCATTGTGTTTCCGGCCCACATGTTTTATTCCCTCCAGCCCACAGCCTTCCCTACCCGCTGCCTGCCCGCTGTCCCTGGTGGCTGCTCTCTAGGCTCACACAAAGCCCGGCACCCCGCCAGTGACCCCTTCCTGGCCTCCCCACCCAGGGTCCCCGGAGGGCAGAGGGATTACAGGCCCCACCCAGAGCTGGCCATTAGTCATCCTCTATCACAGGGTTCTGGAATGTCCGAACTGGAAGGGCCCTGGGAATTCAGCCAGCCCAACCCCTTGGTGCACAGACAGGAGACGGGCCCATGAGGGTGTTGGTCTCTTCCAGGCCTAGGAGCACCTGGGGCAGACCCAGGCTCAGAACTCAGCGCACCTGAGGCCCATGGAGCTCCACCCAGCTTCCATCTCAGACAGTCATAGGCTAGGCCTGGAAGAGCTAAAGAAACCTCTTGGCATAGAACCCCTGTCCTACTTTACAGAGAGGCAATTGAGGTCTGCAGCAGCAACTCCGTTTACTTAGTGAGAGGAAAATGCTTCTAAGAGGCCTGGCCTCCCAGAACAAACCCAGCAACCTGGTTGGTGTCCATCCCTATGCCAAGGGCCATGACAGCCATCCACACAAGAGAGGATGGGCGCCGCTCGCCTCACCAGAAGGTCTAGGCACTTCTTTTTTTGTTTTTTATTTTTGTTTTTTTTTTTCTGAGGCAGAGTTTCACTCTTGTTGCCCAGGCTGGAGTGCAGTGGCGCAACCTCGGCTCACTGTGTCTTCCGCCTCCCGGGTTCAAGCGATTCTCCTGCCTCAGCCTCCCGAGTAGCCGGGATTACAGGCATGCGCCACCATGCCCATCTAATTTTTTTTTGTATTTTTAGTAGAGACAGGGTTTCTCCATGTTGGTCAGGCTGGTCTCGAACTCCTGACCTCAGATGATCCACCCTTCTCAGCCTCCCAAAGTGCTGGGATTATAGGCGCGAGCTACCGCGCCCAGCTATAGGGACTTCTTAGTAGCCCTACTTTATGGTTCAGAAGACTGAAGCTCAGAAAAGTGGAGACACTTGCCTAAAGGCACACAGAGAGAAAGGGAACTCTTGGATACAAAACTCCTTTTCTCAGGGAGGCAATGTGGAAAGAAGCAGAAGGTATCGTCGTTGCATGCCCCTTGAGAACTTACCATCTTCTTGAGGAGAGAAAACTAAGTACTTGAAACAACCAACAGCACAGACAGGGCTTGGTGATGTGAGGGAACCCTGGGAGGGCTGGGGACCGGGTGATATGCACTGACCCTGGCAGTGGGCGGGCCGCGACTGGCATTCCAGTGGAGTGACCAGAAGCCCAGAGGTGGGCTGGGCTTGGCATACTATCAGGCTGTTCTGGCGCCCCCACCCCTTTCCTACATGTCCTGCCAATCTAACCCCAGCTGGAGCAGAGACAGGCACTGCAGGAAGGCACCCAATCACAAATCCTAAACTTACAGCTTAGGGCGCTCTCACCTGCTGCGGATGTGGGTAGCCAGCCTACAGTTCAAGAAGCAGACCGTGCATCTGGGCGCGGTGGCTCACGCCTGTAATCCCAGCACTTTGGGAGGCCAAGGCAGGTGAATCACCTGAGGCCAGGAGTTTGAGACCAGCCTGGCTGACATGATGAAACCCTATCTCTACTAAAAATACAAGAAATTAGCTGAGCATGATGGCGGGCGCCTGTAATCCCAGCTACTCGGGAGGCTAAGACAGGAGAATCACTTGAACTCAGGAGGAGGGGGAGGTTGCAGTGAGTGGAGATTGCACCATTGCACTCCAGCCTGGGCAACAAGAGCAAAACTCCTCCATCTCAAAAAAAAAAAAAAAAAAAGGCAGCAGATTGTGGCTGGCACTCACTCCTACTCCAGGGCTCCATCCAGTCCTACTTCCCAGGGGACCATTGTCCCTGACCATGGTGATGATCTGGGGGAATATGGAAAAAGACGTAACGTCCTGGCCCCGCTGAGTCCCTGACTTGCTTACACAGGTCATCACCCCTCCCTGTCTGCACTGGGTCCGGGGTGCCTGAGGAGCCTTGGCAATCTTAAAAGGAGCTCCAAGAAGGAAAGGGAGGGTGTGGTTACGGAGGGGAAACCAATCCATTTCACAGATGCTACCCCTGAGGCTCAGAGAGGAAATGGAGGGGCCAGGTCTCAAATTGGCATTTTCCGCCTCCCCACCCCTCCTGTGTGCAGCATAGTGAGTTTGGCAGCCACACAGGACACCTGTACAATCACACACACTGGCTCTTTCATTCCATCCTCCTTGCAGCCTCCCTCCCCCTCGCTCACCACCACCTCTACTTCGCAGTGGAAGAAACATTGGTTTGTGCTGACAGATTCAAGTCTCAAATATTACAGAGACTCCACTGCTGAGGAGGTGAGGCCATGGGTGTACTGATGAACCCCCGGAAGGGCCTGGGGTGGCCTGGCTGGGTTCACTGGGGTGGGTCACACCAGGGCCCACACGGACCATAGTGGGCCCTCTTGCTCCAGGCAGATGAGCTGGATGGTGAGATCGACCTGCGTTCCTGCACGGATGTCACTGAGTACGCGGTGCAGCGCAACTATGGCTTCCAGATCCACGTGAGGCTGTGTGCAGCTTGGGGGCTGGTGGTGGGCAGCATGGCTGGAGGTCCCTGGGGGAGGTTTTGGTGTTGAACATGGCTCACCATGGAGACTGGATCCCTTCACTCATTTACCCAGAGGCCCTATCTTCAGAGCCAGAGCTGTGATGCCAACACTTAGCATATCTGGGGGAGACGCTGGAGCCAGCAGGGCTCTTCCCAGGCCAATGGAAGGGAGGTTTTGTACCCCCTGCCCACCCCAGACTCAAGACCTTAGATGCATCCTGGGAAGGAAGGGCCACCCTCCCTGGGGTCCATAGTGGGGAGGGAGTCATGCGGCTGGCCATGTGGCAACCTACCCATGCGGTGGCCTTGCAGACCAAGGATGCTGTCTATACCTTGTCGGCCATGACCTCAGGCATCCGGCGGAACTGGATCGAGGCTCTGAGAAAGACCGTACGTCCAACTTCAGCCCCAGATGTCACCAAGTACGTACTAAGCTGGACTGGGGCCTTGAGGGAGGCACTTACCCTTGCGTCCCCGAGTGGGTTTCTAGGTACTCACCTGAGGGCTGCACCTTTCTGGGCCCTCGTTTCTCTGTCAACAACATGGGAAGAGAGTAGTGAGCATTCTCGGTATCATCCAGAAGTACACTGAGGGTTTGAGGTTTGATCTGTCTTCTCAAATGTGATGGGGCCTCTTCTCTTTGGAGGAGATGCCTGTGAGTCAAAAGCCCCTGCCAGGTGGCTGTTCTGTCTCTGTGTCTGTGCCGTGGGGGCCGTGTCTAAGCCTGTGTTAGGAAGGGGTGGTTAGGTAGTTCAGCCTTGGCGCCCACACCTCCCGGGATGGGGAGCTCACTCCTTCTGGAGGCTGCCACGGGCACTGGGGCAGGAGGGCTGAGTTACCGAGTGGCAGAGCCCCCCACAGTTTATACCCAGATGCCCATGGCGGGCTGGGACTTGGAGCTGCTGGGCAGCGGGAACAGAGTGTGGTATTAAAGGGGGCTGGGCTGGGTGTAGTGGCTCACACCTGTAATCCCAGCGATTTGGGAGGCTGAGATGGGAGGATCACTTGAGCTCAGGAGTTCAAGACCAGCCTGGGCAATATAGTGAGACCTCGTCCCTACAAAAAATTTAAAAATCAGCTGGCCGTGGTAGGGTGCGCCTGTCAGCTGAGGTGGGAGGATCACCTGAGCCCGGAGGCCGAGTCCCCCAGACTGGCCACACCGCGGCTATTCAGCCTTAGGCCAGAGGCTTTCCTGTCTAGGTTTCAGAGTCCCCATCTGTCACGTTAGCATGTCATGTCTGTACATGTGCCAGGATGTGCCCAGAGCACTTTGTGAACTCTGAAGCACTGTGCAGTTGGACTGTTATTTAGCATCTAGGCCCAGCTGCTTTAAGAAAGAAACCCCGGGCACAGTAACTTCATCGAGATAGATGTTCATGTCTCCCTTCAGAACAGCCCCGAGGTATGCAGTCCTGGCCTGGTGGGGCTCGCTCTGCCGTTTCAGGGGAGCCACCTGCCACACCCACTCGGCAGCCTATAGTCACATGGCTACAAGTAGCTGTGGGAATACTGCGAGTGTAGTTTTTGGCAGGGTGACCACGTACCCAGCTATGACTGTGGATAAAGAGAATTGCCATAGTTGTTCAGAGTCTCTGCAACTTGTGTTCTGTGCACCCCGAGGTCCCGCCTTCACCCCATCAGCAGTGACTGGGCATCCCCCTTGCCACTGTGAGCCTCGGGAACCTGGGACATTGGTCTCCTACATCACCTCATTGATCACCATTTGCAAAAAGCCCCCTGCCTGCTTTCCACGTTCGCCCACCCTGTCCTCACATCCATCCTGTGAGAGGCGTCGCTGTCCCACATTACAGATGAGGTCACTGAAGCTCAAAGAGGGCAAAGAGACCAGTGTGGTGGTTCACGCCTGTAATCCCAGAGCTTTGGGAGGCTGAGGTGGGAGGAGCACGTGAGCCCAGGAGTTCGAGACCAACCTGGGCAATATATTGAGACCCCATCTCTATCAAAAATTTAAAAAATTAGCTGGGCGTGGTGGTGCATGTCTGTAGTCCCAGCTACTCCAGAGGCCGAGGCAGGAGGATCACTTGAGCTAAGGAGTTTAAGGCTGCAGTGAACTATGATCACACCACTCTACTTCAGCCTGGGCAGCAGAGTGAGACCCTGTCCCTTGAAAAACAAAAACAAGAACGGGGGCGAGGGAAGCCGGGCATCCTGGTGGGTCCCTGGGCTGTCAAGAGGTGGAGCTGGGATGTTCCTGGGGTCTGTTAACCAGGAAGCTCAGGTCGGGCTGCTTCCTTCCCTGGGGTCTGTCTCCAGCCCCTGGCACAGGGCCTGGCACACAGGTGTCGCTCCAAAAGTGCTCATTGTGGGACTGCAGGGGTGAGGACCCACCTGACGTGGCTCTGCTGGTGCCCTAGGCTCTCGGACTCTAACAAGGAGAACGCGCTGCACAGCTACAGCACCCAGAAGGGCCCCCTGAAGGCAGGGGAGCAGCGGGCGGGCTCTGAGGTCATCAGCCGGGGTGGCCCTCGGAAGGCGGACGGGCAGCGTCAGGCCTTGGACTACGTGGAGCTCTCGCCGCTGACCCAGGCTTCCCCGCAGCGGGCCCGCACCCCAGCCCGCACTCCTGACCGCCTGGCCAAGCAGGAGGAGCTGGAGCGGGACCTGGCCCAGCGCTCCGAGGAGCGGCGCAAGTGGTTTGAGGCCACAGACAGCAGGACCCCAGAGGTGCCTGCTGGTGAGGGGCCGCGCCGGGGCCTGGGTGCCCCCCTGACTGAGGACCAGCAAAACCGGCTTAGTGAGGAGATCGAGAAGAAGTGGCAGGAGCTGGAGAAGCTGCCCCTGCGGGAGAATAAGCGGGTGCCCCTCACTGCCCTGCTCAACCAAAGCCGCGGAGAGCGCCGAGGGCCCCCAAGTGACGGCCACGAGGCACTGGAGAAGGAGGTAGGCACCACGGCTGGCTCTCTAGGAGGCCCCTTGCCCCAGCGCCCCTCCAGTCCCTGCATTCATGCCCTGGCATTTGTCTTGCACTCCTACAGTGATGGGGAGCTCACCCCTGATCTGCTGTGAGTGTGCACCCCACACTCCTGCGAACTAGAATCTTCTTCCTTAGACCTTAGTAGTTTGGTTTGGTTTTGTTTTGTTTTTTCCTAGTTCTGCCCTTAGCAGCCATAGAGAAGAGAAGTGGGAAGAGAAGGGAGAGACCTGCCAGGCTCACACCTGTAATCCTAACATTTTGGGAGGCCAAGGTGGGAGGGTCCCTTGAAGCCAAGAGTTTGAGACCAGTCTGTGCGACATGGCAAAACCCCATGTCTACAAAAAAATACAAAATTTAGCTGGGCGTGCTGGTGCATACCTGGAGCCCCAGCTACTTGAGAGGCTGAGGTGGGAGGATGGCTGGAGCCCGGGAGGCAGAGGATGCAGTGAGCCAAGATCAAGCCACTGCACTCCAGCAGTCTGGCAATAGAGCCCGACTTTGTCTCAGATTAAAAAAAAAAAAGAAGAAGAAGAAGGGCGAGACCGTTTATTGTTCATCTTCTGCCCGTGGCCTCCCTGCCTGCACTGACTCGTGGAATCCTCACAGCGGCCTCTACCCCTAGGGTGGACTTCAGCAGTTTTACTGACGGGAAAACTGAGGCTCAAAGATGTTTCCTCTGTCACCTCCATGATGTGTAAACATCTGTGACCACAGTTTCCTTTTCCTATCCCTGTCTAGCCTTCTCTGGGCCAAGGCTCTCCCAGGTCATTGACCTGGCCATCCAGGAAACAGCCCAGCGTGTCCCCTGGCTACATCTCACTCCAGGGCTGCTTGCCCTTCTCAAACCCTGAGGCATTCCTAAGCCTTCCAGGGACGCTGGGCTTGTATCCGTGTGGAGCTGGAAGCCTGCGGGCTCCTCACTGCCTTCCACCAGCCCTGCCCCAGCTTCCAGGTCCCACTGACCACCCTTCTCCCTCGTAGGTTCAGGCTCTTCGGGCCCAGCTGGAGGCGTGGCGTCTCCAAGGGGAGGCTCCTCAGAGTGCACTGAGATCCCAGGAGGATGGCCACATCCCCCCGGGCTACATCTCACAGGTAAGGCCGGGGGGCTGTTTTTCAGGGGGAGGGGGCAGATTTCTGCTTGCCGTGTTATCAGGAAACAGCTGAGATTTTGGGAGCCCTTCCTGTGTGTGCTGGAACCTGTGTGGGGCATTTGACATGCGTCATCTCATTTACTCTCCCCACAGCTGGTGGGCGTGATCACTGTGCCCGTTTTACAGACAAGGCCACTGAGCTCTGAGAGGTTATGTGACTTGCCCAAGGTCACCCCGCCTGCAGGTCTCAAAGGTGGGATTTGAGCGAGGGTCCGGCTGACTGCAGAGCCTGTGTGTGAGTCCCCGTGTGACACTCTGCACTTGGACCCTTGCCCCGGGGAAGTGGGGGGCTAGTGGCCCCGAGAGTCACTCCCTGAACACAGGGAAATCCTGCCGAGGCCCACTGGGCCAAGGCCCCACACAAGGAGGTCTGCAGGACAGGGGAGCCTCCAGTAGCCCTCAGAGAATGCACCGTCCGCCTAGGACAGCGGTTCTCAACGGGGTCCATTTTGTCCCCCTTGGGGACATTTGGCTGTGTCTGGGAATACTTCTGGTTGTCACAACTAGGACAAACTAACTCTCTAGAAAAAACGTGTGTGTGTACACATATATAAGTTTATTATAAATTTTACCAATAAAAACAATGCTTAGTACACAATTTACAAATAAAAATATATAATTTTATTGTGAATTCCGTACAGCAAATGGATTTTTCTCAGAATGCTTTCAGTGATTTTTTCCATACTCTTGTATCCACAACTGATTAACAAAGGGGGTTGTTCTAACGTGTGCTGGTTGACATTTTTGTTTATGGTAATGAGTAAGATGAGAAGACATTTGTCGAAACTTTACTGGTCCATGTTGTCAGCTACTTCTTTGCTAGATCGGATAGTAGTTTTCTATTGAGAATATTTGAGAATATTCTATTAAGAATATTTTTGCAATTTTTTGTTCTATTTACAATGTAATGGTTATAGATGTGAGATACTTCTAAGTTTAATCTGCATTATTAGCATTTTCTTATCACTTGCTTAAGTCTAGACAATCAACAAAACAATAAATCAAGCCCTGATGTGTAATGTTTACCAATTCTGCAGTGTAAATACTCCCGCTGTGGCCAATGCTGCATTACCAGCACAAAGTCCCTGGACAGAGAGTTGGGAAGAGATGTCACACTATTCACTAGGATTTCCACCATGCGGATACAGTAGATGTGATTGGCCCCAAGAGCACGCATAATACAACACAGTGAAATATTTAGGAAGTAATAAATTTGAGTATCTATTGCCTTGTCTTTAACATAGTTAATTTAAAGTATATAAATTTAATTGTTAATGGCTGTGCTTAACAACTACATCACAGAATTACTAAAAATTTGACAATCAGCTGTCTGTAGTTATCACACCATTATCTAAAGTAGAAAAGAAGGGGCCAGGCGCAGTGGCTCACGCCTGTAATCCCAGCACTTTGGGGAGGCCGAAGTGGGCAGATCACGAGGTCAGGAGAACGAGACTAACCTGGCCAACATGGTGAAACTCCGTCTCTAATAAAATACAAAAAATAGCCGGGCGTGGTGGTGCGCACTGTAGTCCCAGCTACTTGGGAGGCTGAGGCAGGGGACCCACTGGAACCCAGGAGGCGCAGGTTGCAGTGAGCCGAGATTGCGCCACGGCACTCCAGCCTGGCGACAGAGTAAGACTCCATCTCAAAAAAAAAAAAAAAGAAAGAAAAGAAAAGAAGGCTGAGATCTAGGCCCTAGGCAGGAGGAGCCTTCTAAAAATTTCCAAGGGGAGGTCACGTCATGAGGGGGCTCTCAGGAAGGCATTGGCTGGGGCATGAGAAGGAAGGCTGGTTGGTGCGTATTGTGGATGCCTCCAGTGCTGAGCTAATAGTTAGAAGCTCTGGCCTGGTACGGTGGCTAATGCCTGTATCTCAGCACTTTGGGAGGTGAGGTGGGTGGATCACTTGAGGTCAAATGTTCGAGGCCAGTGTGGCCAGAGTGGTGAAACCCTGTCTCTACTAAAAAAAAAAAATACAAAACTTAGCAGGGCATGGTGGTGGGCGCCTATAATCCCAGCTACTCCAGTGGCTGAGGCAGGAGAATCGCTTGAACCCGGGAGGCAGAGGTTGCAGTGAGCTGAGATCCTGCCACTGCAGCCTGGGTGACAGTGAGACTCTATCTAAAAACAGCAACAAAAAACAAAACAAACAAAAAAAGAGAAGCTCATTCCACAGACTTTTGGAGGTTTGGGGTCAGACAGTGACATCAGGAAAGTGATGTTGGAGTGGAGGGGGCTTGGGAGAGGGCCAGGTGTAAGGCATTAGGAAATGGCTGAAGGAGGGTGAATGTCAAGGGTCTGGAGGGAGGAGAATTTGGGACTGGATGACCAGATCTACGGAAGGCAGAGGGGCCTTTGGGGGCCCTGAGGCTGGGGCTGCTGCTCCAGGGAAGCCCGGAGACCGTCCTGGGGCCAAGTAGTGGATGGAGTTTCCACTGATAGAGGAGCAGGCAGGGGAATTGGGGTGGGACGCAGAGGGTGAGGCTGGGGGCTTACCTTGTCCTGGGGAGGGGCAGGGGAGGAGCCAGTGTTGTGCCCTGTAGCCTCCCACCCTGAGGCAGAGAAGGGAGCTGGGGGCCCAACACCCCAGCTGAGGCAGGTGGGAGGGCCTCCGAGGCCCCCAGCCAGGGGGCTTCTGCCTGCGTGCTCTGCTCTAAGAAGCTGCAGGGGCTGCTTTCTGGGTGGGTGGGGCTGGGACCCATTCGTACCCACCTATAATCAGAGTGGCTTCATCTTCCTCCATTTTATTTTATTTTAATTTTTTTAGAGATGAGGTCTTTTACTGTCACCCAGGCTACAGTGCAGTGGCACAGAGGCTCACTGCAGCCTCGAACTCTAGGGCTCAAGCAGTCTTCCCACCTCAGCCTCCTGAGTAGGAACCACAGGCTACACCACCATGCCTGGCTAATTAAAAAAATTTTTTTGTAGAGACAAGGTCTCACTATGTTCCCTGGGCTGGTCTTGAACTCCTGGGCTCAAGTGCTTCTCTCATGTTGGCCTCCCAAAGTGCTGGGGGTACAAGTGTGACCACTGCACTGGCCCACCTTTGTCCGTTTTACTCATAGAGCCAGCTTTAGATTTCCTTTAGATAAAGGCTCTGCCACTACAATGACGTTTAAAAGGCACTGCTTTGGCTTCTCAGCTTACTGGTGGCAAAACTGAGGCCCACAGAAGGGTGTGACCTTTGAGCTATAGGCAGACCTGTGTCTGGAGTTCAGGCGGTCTGGTCCCCAGGTGCCCCATTGGGTGCACCAAAGTCTGTCAGTGTTTGGTCCCGTTAGGGTGGGATGGGCACGGGGAGCAGGTGGGAGGGGAGAAGGGAATAACTGGGGAGCAGAGCTGAAGACCAGGCAGGTGGAGGAGTGACCCCAGATGCGGAAGGCAGCAGAGAAGAAGAGCTGAGTCATCTGTATCGCCCTCAGGCACGGGAGGAGGCGGATGGAAATTCGGTGGACCTGGAGGAGTGACAGCTGGGAGGGATTCCCCAGCTGGTATCTCGGGCTGAGTGGGTGCCCTTCCTTCAGGGGTTGGGGGCTTGCTGCTGCACGACAGCTGTCGGGTGGTCTGGGGCTTCACCCACTGGACATCTGGTAAAGAGAACCTTTCCCCACTATTGCAGTGGGGACAGAGGCATTTCTTTATCTACTTTGATGTCCATGTCAAAGGTGGCAGCCAGGATCAGGACACCTTGGGCCACTCAGGAAGGTAGGTGAGAGAGGCCCTAGGAGCCCCTGTTCGTCAGCTGAGTCCCACCTCCTGATGTCAGCCCCTGCACCCCTGAGCTGCTGGGTCTGCCTGCCTGGTCTGGCCCTCTTCAGAAGAGCAGTGCCCACCCCCACATTGCTGGGCTCCCCACTGGTGGATGCTGGCGTACCGTCTCCCTCTGTGCACAGGGTTCCCGTGCCCAGGGAGCCTCGGGGGCTGGTCCTGTGAGGCCTGCTTTACGGATGCCAAGACTGAAGCTCAGAGGGGGCGAGGGGTTTGTTCAGGTTCACTCCAAGGCGCAGCCAGGGTGAAGACCGCCTCTGAGGTCCAAAGTCATGTTCTGTTGTCCTAAGCCAGGAGACACATAGAGGGCAGGAACAGAAGCCAGGGGACAGACACCCCTGTCGCCACATGAAGCTCTTGGCCCTCGCTCCTCCATCAAATCGTCCCCAGGTGTGGCTGCTGGAGAGGCGGGGAGGTGGCCTTTGCGTGGGGGAGACAGTCCCTCATCTGGTCCTCTGTGCCTTAGTTTCTTCCCTGGCTCTTCTTCCCCTTCCCTTTTTAATGACCTTAAACATTTTTTTAATTATATAAAAGAAATGTTTACATTTTCAAAAATAATTTAAACAAATTGAAAGGCTGGAAATCAACACCCTCACACTCCTTCTGCTGCCAGCTGCCACCCCAGGGTCCTGTCGGTGGCTGCTGCCGCCTGCCTATCAGTTTCTGGTGGCAGCTGTAACCTGTAACCACAGCTACCTAAATAATGCACATGTATTACCTCACGCTTCTGTAGGCGAGAAGTCTAACGCGAGTCTTGCCGCGCTGCAGCCAAGGCGTGGGCAGGACTGTGTTCCTCTGCAGGCACCCGTTGTATCCCTTGCCTGCTCCAGCTTCTGGTGGCCGTCCGCGTCCCTTGGCTCTCGGCCCCTTCCTTCATCTTCAAAGCCTGCAGAGGGGAAGTCGAGTCCTTCTCCTGCCACGTCACTCTGACCATCCCTTCCTGGTCACACCTCCCTTGAACTCTTCGCTTCTGCCCCCTTCGTCCACTTTTAAGGACCCTTGTGATTACACTGGGCTTGAGGGATAATCTGGGATAATCTCCCGATTTTAAGGTCAGCTGATTAGCAACCTTGATTCCCTCTGCAGCCTGAATTCCTCTTTGCCATGTAACATGATGTAGTCACAGATCCTGGGAGTAAGATGTGGACAACTTTGAGGGGCTATCATTCTGCCCCCTACAATATCCTCCCTACCTTTTCTGTGTTTTCTGTGTTTTCCATTCACTGGGACGGACAGGTCTGCACGTTTGTTCCCGTGAGTGAGATCATACCACGTGTATGTCAGAAGCCAACTTTCACCACCTCATTTTGGGATCTTTTTCCACAGCATCCACACAAAAACTCTGTCTAGCAGCTGCCTGTGTCCCATTGTCAAGCTCGATCCCATCATTTATTCAAGAGTTCCCCTGATAGGGATTTAGATTGTTTCCAGTTTTCATCTGTTACCAACCTGGCTGTAGGGAATACCCTTGTTCCAAAAGTCTCTGTACACATACGACTTTCTGTGGGATCATTTCTGGGAGTGAACCTACTAGGTCAACCAGTGGGGTCGCAAAATGTGATGATGCCACCGGACCACCCCCAACACACACCGTTGTGGCGGACACTCCCAGCAGTGGGTATTATTAGTCTGAGATACTTGCCCATCTTGTCTACTAAGCATTATTTTGTATTACATCATCAGTTTCAGCTCATTTACTGAGCACCTGCCACATGTCAGGCCCTGGCCTAGACCCTGGGGACTGCGCCAGTCAGATGTTCTCAGTCTTCAGGGAATTTATGGTTTGGCAGAGGTAGAACCTTTTGAGGCAGGGGAGAGGCTGCCCAGAGACAGAGCTAGGAGAGACATTTAAACTGGGCTGCAGGTCAGTAAATTACCCAGGGAGGTAAAGTTGCCAAAAAAACATTCCAGGCCGGGCACAGTGGCTCATGCCTGTAATCCCAGCATTTTGGGAGGCCAAGGCCGGCAGATCACAAGGTCAGAAGTTCAAGACCATCCTGGCTAACACAGTGAAACCCCATCTCTACTAAAAATACAAAAATTAGCTGGGCGTGGTGGTGGGCACCTGTAGTCCCAGCTACTCACGAGGCTGAGGCAGAAGAATCACTTGAACCCAGAGGTGGAGGTTGCAGTGAGCTGAGATTGCTCCACTGCACTCCAGCCTGGGTGACAGAACAAAACTCTGTCTCAAAAACAAAAACAAAAACAAAAAAACCACAAAATTCCAGGCAGTGGGAATAGCTAAAGCTCAGAGGTGTGAACGTGCTGCAACCGTAACTGTGAGATTGCTTGGCAGAGAAAGGCCAGGGATGAGAACGTAAAGGTCAGCCATGGGAACGGGGACTTGACTCTGTAGGACGAGGAATCCCTGGAGGGCTTGAGGCAGGAGCGACAAGGTGAGGTTTGTGAATGAGGAGCCGTGGGGTGGGGGTGGGAGCAGGAGCAGGTGCAGACTGGAGGTGCTGGGACCCAGGAGGAGGTGGTGTACCTGCCCCTGAGCCTTCTCCTCTGGAGGCTGGGGAAGGGCCGCTGTCCAGAGGAACGGGGCAGCCTGTGACACCCTGGCGTCCGGCCCACAGGAGGCATGTGAGCGCAGCCTGGCAGAGATGGAGTCCTCGCACCAGCAGGTGATGGAGGAGCTGCAGCGGCACCACGAGCGGGAGCTGCAGCGCCTGCAGCAGGAGAAGGAGTGGCTCCTGGCTGAGGAGACGGCAGCCACGGCCTCAGGTATGGACCCTGGGGGGGGCACAGTGGGCTGGGCTCTGAGCCTCTGTGCTGAGGTTCCTCCTAGCCAAACTGGGGAGGATTTTATCAAATAAGATGTAGGGGTCTCAGTGCCACATTTGGGGTAAAGGGTCAGCAGGTGTTAGAAGCTCCAAGAACTGGCCTGTAGCCCTACTTAAAAAGGGAAACTGAGGCAGTAAAAGATACCCTCCCCACCCCCAACACCACCACTACCATAGGTGGTGACTCTTCCTGCTCAGGGGCCTGCAGCCACCATAGAGTCTGCCTAAAGGCACATGCTACCCACGTGCGTGGGGGAGAGGCTGATCAGCTGCATCCCCTGTCCTCATAGGAGTGCCTCCTCCCTGGGCACATGGGCCAGACCCTGGGGAGAGCAGGGGAAGGTGTGAGCATTGTCCATGCCAGCTGTGTGCCAGGCACTGGGCCCCACATGTTTCCCACAGGAGCACCCTTCATCCTGGACAATTCCCTCCCCTCCTGCCACCGCACACCTGCTGTGTGCCTGGCACATTCCTAGGCATCACTAGGGGTTTGCAGAACAATAGAAATGCTGGCCAATGTCACATGATCTGAAGCTCACAACCTGCCAGTGCTGTGCCAAGTGCTCATGCACTCGAACCCAGCCTTGGGGCCAGTGTGCTCTGCATTTCAGGAAGATCGCCTTTGCAGCCGCGTGTGTTAGAGACCCCTTCCCCCTCAGCAGAGTCTGGACTTCGCCCTGTAATCTGGCACTAAGGTTTCTGCTGTGAAATGGATAAAAATCACACTTAAGTGGAATAATAAAGACCATAAATAGCCTCATGTCCGTTCAGGGTGGGGATTGCCACCAAAAGATTTACCAGAGGCCCGGTGCAGTGGCTCATGCCTGTAATCCCAGCACTTTGGGAGGCTGAGGCGGGCAGATCACCTGAGGTCAGGAGTTCGAGACTAGCCTGGCCAACATGGTGAAACCCCATCTCTACTAAAAATACAAAAATTAGCTGGGCGTGATGGTGGGCAGCTGCAATCCCAGCTACTCAGGAGGCTAAGGCAGGAGAATCTCTTGAACCCAGGAGACAGAGGCTGCAGTGAGCTGAGATTGCACCACTGCACTCCAGCCTGGATGACAGAGTAAGACTCCATCAAAAAAAAAAAAGGCCAGGCACTGTGGCTCATGCCTGTAATCCCAGCACTTTGGGAGGCCGAGGCAGGTGCATCACGAGGTCAGGAGTTCAAGACCAGCCTGGCCAAGATGGTGAAACCCTGTCTCTACTATGAATACAAAAATTAGCCATGCGCGGTGGCAGGCGCGTGTAATCCCAGCTACTCAGGAGGCTGAGGCAGGAGAATCGCTTGAAAGTGGGCGGCAAAGGTTGTAGTGAACCAAGATTGTGCCACTGCACTCCAGCCTGGGTGACAGAGTGAGACTCCGTCTCCTGGGTGACAGAGTGAGACTCCGTCTCCTGGGTGACAGAGTGAGACTCTGTCTCAAAAAAAAAAAGAAAGAAAAAAAGGAGAGAAACTTTCAATGTTCAGAAGTTTCGGATTTTAGAATTGTGGGTAAAACCATGGGTGGCCCTGAGTGGGAAAAAAAAAGCCTCGGTCTCAGTCCTTAGGAGCTCACAATCTGAGAATAAAGCCAGCAGGAGCTAATGTTGGGGCATTTACTCTGAGCCATGCTTTGTTCTAAATTCTTCACACACCTTCCAATAACCCCATGGAGGAAAGGTACTGTTGTTATCGATCCCTGTTTTCCAGATAAGGGATCTGAGGCACAAGGGGTTAAGTCACCTGTGCAAAGTCACATCGGTTTATGCTGACTGTGGAGCCTGAGCTCTTGACCACGAGGCTGGTCAAAGCAGATAGGCCTTGTTTGAGAGCCCTCAGAGTCTGCAGGGGGGGTGTACTAGGTGGGGTCCTACCTGGAAATCACTAGAACAGGAGGTACCAATGGTCAGACCCTGAGCTGTCTCCCCAGTAGGGTCCATCCAACAGGATTATCTTCCCTTAATAGATGGGCTGAGAGAGGTTGAGAGCTTACCCCAAGCCACTCAGTTTATGACACAACCTGGGCTACTCTAGACTCCTGGTTCGGTGCTCTTTGCATAGCACTCCTTGGTCCAAGTCCATAGTACTTGCATAGTACTATGTGGAGTCCACATAGTACTCCACCAGTACATGTGGCGTCTCAGAGCTGGTGGCACTTGGTGCTGCTGACCCCCCTCCAGTCTCTCTTGTGCCTCTCTGCCCTGCTTCCAGCCATTGAAGCCATGAAGAAGGCCTACCAGGAAGAGCTGAGCCGAGAGCTGAGCAAAACACGGAGTCTCCAGCAGGGCCCGGATGGCCTCCGGAAGCAGCACCAGTAAGATGATGCCGGGGCCCAACTGCCCACCCTGATGGTTATGGGTTGAGGAACTTTGCTGAGGCCCCTTGGCAGCGGACACATCAGTTTGCCCCTAGCTGAGATTCCTGCTCCAGTCTCATGGATGCAAGAAACAGAAGCAGAAGGTCCTCAGGCAGACCCCATGCCAGTCCTCACAGACAGTCCTTCAGGCAGCTTCTTGTCTTGGCTGGTCCCAGCCTCCACCCACCTCTTCACCCCTTTAGTCTCCCCTGGAGCTGGGCTGCAGTGTCACTGTTGACCACTAGGCCTCTCCCTGCCCCAGAGCACAGTTTTGGAATGTTGAGGTTTCAGGGGCTTTAACTTTAAAGATGGGCCCCTCCAGCCGGGCACATTGGCTCATGCCTGTAATCCCAGCACTTTGGGAGGCTGGGATCAGGAGTTCGAGACTAGCCTGGCCAACATGGTGAAACCCCATCTCTACTAAAAATACAAGCTAGCTGAATGTGGTGGCGGGAGCCTGCAATTCTAGCTACTTGGGAGGCTGAGGCAGGAGAATCGCTTGAACCCAGGAGGCAGAGGTTGCAGTGAGCCAAGATTGTGCCATTGTATTCCAGCCTGGGCAACAAGAGTGAGAGCAAGACTCCATCTAAAAAAAAAAAAAAAGATGGGCTCCTCCAAGCCACCCTCACTTAGGGTAAACACCTGTAGCCCAGAGAAGCTGTCACTGGTTCACAGCCCCACAGCAGGCTAAAGGCAAACCTAGAGAGGGAACCCCAGAGTCCTGGGATGCTTTAAGTCTACCTGACTGGACTCCAGGCTTGGCAGGAGCAAGACAACCTATGCTCTCCTCTGCTCCTCCTCTGGGGCAGGTCAGATGTGGAGGCACTGAAGCGAGAGCTGCAGGTGCTATCGGAGCAGTACTCGCAGAAGTGCCTGGAGATTGGGGCACTCATGCGGCAGGCTGAGGAGCGCGAGCACACGCTGCGCCGCTGCCAGCAGGAGGGCCAGGAGCTGCTGCGCCACAACCAGGTGGGCCTGGCCCCAGGTTGGGGGGACACGGGTGGGTCCCGGCACCCCTCCCCTGACCACCGTGCCTCTCCCAGGAGCTGCATGGCCGCCTGTCAGAGGAGATAGACCAGCTGCGCGGCTTCATTGCCTCGCAGGGCATGGGCAATGGCTGCGGGCGCAGCAACGAGCGGAGTTCCTGCGAGCTAGAGGTGAGTGTCCTCACTAGCACCAGGCAGCCCAGTGGTTCTCGGGGCCCGGGGCTATGGGGCACCCCCGCCATAGGCTGGGTATCACCTGTGGCAGGAAAGCCAAGTCTCCCAGTGGCTGGGCCAGCCTGACTAGGCTAGAACACCTACTGTGCATCCAGTAGCCAGCATTCTGCCCTCCCACCTGCATTGTGTCACCTACCTGCCGTGTACCATAGCAAATCACTCCACTTTTCTGAGTCCCAGTAGCTCATCTGTAAAATGGCACCAGCACCTTCCTTACTGGGAAATATTGGGGTAAGAAAATATGTGTGTATGTGTGTGATGCCAGTATCACTGTAGTATTTTCTTTCTTTTTCTTTCTTTCTTTTTTTGAGACAGAGTCTCTCTCTGTCACCCAGGCTGGAGTGTAGTGACACGATCTCAGTTCACTGCAACCTCTGCCTCCCTGGTTCAAGCGATTCTCCTGCCTCAGCCTCCCAAGTAGCTAGGATTACAGGCCTGCACCACCACACCCAGCTAATTTTTTATATTTTTGGTAGAGACAAGTTTCACTATGTTGGCCAGGCTGGTCTCGAACTCCGGACCTCAAGTGATCTGCCTACCTTGGCCTCACAAAGTGCTGGGATTACAGCATGAGCCACCACACCCGGCCTTAGTATTTATTTCTTTACTTTTTTTTTTTTTTTGAGACAGAGTTTTGCTGTTGTTGCCCAGGCTACAGTGCAGTGGCGCGATCTCGGCTCACCACAACCTCCGCCTCCCAGGTTAAAACGATTCTCCTGGCCGGGCGCGGTGGCTCACGCCTGTAATCCCAGCACTTTGGGAGGCCGAGGCGGGCAGATCACGAGGTAGGAGATCAAGACCATCCTGGCTAACACAGTGAAACCCCGTCTCTACTAAAAATACAAAAAAATTACCCGGGCGTGGTGGCGGGCGCGGTGGCGGGTGCCTGTAGTCCCAGCCACTCCGGAGGCTGAGGCAGGAGAATGGCATGAACCTGGGAGGCGGAGCGTGCAGTGAGCCGAGATCGTGCCACTGCACTCCAGCCTGGGTGACAGAGCGAGACTCCGTCTCAAAAAAAAAAAAAATATTAAAAAAAAAAAGCGATTATCCTGCCTCAGCCTCCCAAGTAGCTAGGATTACAGGCATGTGCCACCTCGCCTGGATAATTTTGTATTTTTAGTAGAGACAGGGTTTTTCCATGTTGGTCAGGCTCTTCTCGAACTCCCAACCTCAGGTGATCCGCCCACTTCGGCCTCTCAAAGTGTTGGGATTACAGGCGTGAGCCACCGTGCCCAGCCGATATTTTATTTCTCTTTTTTTTTTTGAGACGGAGTCACTCTGTCACCCAGGCTGGAGTGCAGTGGCACCATCTCGGCTCACTGCAAGCTCCGCCTCTCGGGTTCATGCCATTCTCCTGCCTCAGCCTCCCGAGTAGCTGGGACTACAGGCACCCGCCACCACACCTGGCTAATTTTTTGTATTTTTAGTAGAGACGGGGTTTCACCATGTTAGCCGGGATGGTCCCAATCTCCTGACCTCGTGATCCGCCCGCCTCTGCCTCCCAAAGTGCTGGGATTACAGGCGTGAGCCACCGCTCCTGGCCCCAATATTTTATTTCTTCAACAAACACTTAGGTGAGGCTCACTCTGTACCTAGAAATTCTGGAAGCCCTTTTTGTCTGTTAACTCATCTAATCTTCCTGACAGCTCCATACATTAGCTACTATGACTGTCCCCATTTACAGATGAGGAAACTGAGGCACAGGAAGGTCAAGTACCTTACCAAAGCTTTTATAGCTGGACTGGGATTTGAACCAGGCAGTCTGGCTCCAGTCTGAGCTTTTAAGCCTCCCCAGTCCTGGCTGAACTTGTTTCCTCCTTGGTCAAGTCAGCAGCACCTAGCCCTCGGGGTTGGGGAGGGGTTAATGAGGTGCCTTGTGGAGTGGTTCAGCCTGCTCAGGTTTATGTAGGGCTTCTTTTCATCCATCTCACTCCCGAGGTGAGAGCCTGGTGCTGCATGAGGGCTGCAGCAGACTTGACCGTGAGATATCCACTCACACGGGCTGGACAGGGGTGAGAGTAAGGGAAGGCAAAGCAGGGGAATCGGAGAGGGCTTCCTGGAGGAGTCCGCCTCCAGGATGTAGAGGGTTTTTGTGCAGATAGGGGCTGCATTCTAGGGGCCTGAGGCAGAGAGAACCCGGGCTGCAGGGCACTATGGGCCAGGGTAGCTCTGGCTTCTGGCCCTGGGTCAGTCCAGCACCTATATCCCCAGGTGCTGCTTCGCGTAAAAGAAAACGAACTCCAGTACCTAAAGAAGGAGGTGCAGTGCCTCCGGGACGAGCTCCAGATGATGCAGAAGGTAGGTCCTTCCGCTGGGCTGGGGGCCGTCGGGGACTCTGGAGCCATCTGGATGCCATCCTGTGAGCACCTGCTCTGTGCCAAGCCCTCCACTCGCTTCATCCTTCCTCAGGCTCTCCTGTGCTTCTCCCATGTAGGTGTCATCATCCCCATTCACTGACAGGGAAACTGAGACTAAGAAAGGGGAAGTGACTTCCCCAAGGCTGTACTTGGCTTCTGTTTATTTAGCATTATTTAATTTATTGATTATTATTGAGCACCTACTATATCCTGGGCACTGTGCTAGGTGCTGGGAAGACAGATGTGAACAAAATAACCCCAAATCTCTGCTGTGGGGAGCTTGCACTCCAGTGAGAATAACCACGTTGCTAGGAGTTGGGTGGGTCAGGGTTCAGCCCAGGTCTGAGTCTGCAGCCCGCCTGGCCCACCCTTGGCTGCTATGTCACTGCCTGGTGCGCTCTGTCAGTTTGGGGCAGGAAGTGGACATGTTGGTGGCTCTGTAAGTGCACGTGAGCCAGACCGTGTTTACCGCACTTGAAGAACAGGTGGCGTGAACTCACAGGAAGGGCCCGAGCACCCAGCCAGGCTGACCTGGTTCTCATCCCAGCCACTCACTGCCCTGCGGTCTTGGTCAAAATCTTCTCCCCCGAAACAGGATGAGGATGACAATGACGCCTGTGTCCCTGGGTGGTACCAGGGAGGTGGGAGGGGTAAGCCCAGAACCCACGGCCATCTTGGGGAGCCACCTGGAGGGATGAAGCGAGGTATCTGCGGGGAGGTCTGGCTGCTGGTGCTGCCCATGTGCCCGGTTGGCAGGGCTGGAGGGAGAGACTTCATGCCCTCATACCTGCCTCCTGCCCCCCAGGACAAGCGCTTCACCTCGGGAAAGTACCAGGACGTCTATGTGGAGCTGAGCCACATCAAGACACGGTCTGAGCGGGAGATCGAGCAGCTGAAGGAGCACCTGCGTCTTGCCATGGCCGCCCTCCAGGAGAAGGAGTCGATGCGCAACAGCCTGGCTGAGTAGAGGTGGATGCCGAGGCGTGTGCCCTGCAGGGTGGGCAGGGGCTGAGGCTCTCCCACACCCGGGACTCCCTGGACCACCCCAGCCAGGCCACTTCCTTCTTCTGGCCTCCAATTCCCGTTCTGTAAAAAGGACAATGAAACCAGCAACACGGGGTTGTTGCAGAGATCCCATCAGACCCGGGCCACAGGCTGCTTCATCAGCTTAAGCCTGTTCCTCCAGAGCTGGGCGGCACAGTGCAGAGCCACAGCCTACTCAGTGCACCCCCCTTCTTGGGGCTGGAGGCAAATGCAGCGTGCACATCCCTGACCCCCACAGTGAATCTCCACTGAGCTTCACACACACACATCGCACGCTGAGGCCGGGCTTCTATCCCAGTTAGTCTTAACACTCCTTCTTGACTTAGCAGGGCTCAAAGTGGTTGGTTGGTTGGTTGGTTGGTTGGTTGGTTGGTTGGTTGGTTGGTTTTGGTTGCTTTGAGAAAGGTCTTACTCTGACACCCAGGCTGGAGTGCAGTGGTGCAATCACGGCTCACTGCAGCCTCAACCTCCTAGGCTCAAGGGATCCTCCCACCTCAGCCTTCTGAGTAGCTGGGACCACAGGCCCTCACCACCATGCCCAGATAATTTTTGCACTTTTTGTATAGGTGGGGTTTCGCCGTGATTTCCCAGGCTGGTCTCGAACTCCTGGGCTCAAGCAATACACCTGCCTCAGCCTCCCAAAATTCTGAGATTACAGGTGTGAGCCGCTGCACCTGGCCAAAGTGTTCTTATTTTTGCTTTTTCAACGCCACATCTACCTGGAGCATCCTCTTTCTGATAAGTCCTCATGGACTTCCTATGGCATGCAGGAGAGGCCACCCTATGGCTGAGCTGCTTGGGAAGGAGCCAGGAAGAGCGGATCTGGCTGTACCTTAGGGGCTGAGAGGTGGTGGAAGGACCCACTCAGCACCCTTGCTTGGCCTTGGGGTGGCCTCGCAGCCCCTCAGCCCAGGCCTCAGCCCTGCCGCACCTTGTCTTTCAGGTCCCGCCCAGCTGCAGACCCTCCAGGCTGGAGGACCAGCCGCCCTCCTTCCCTCCTGGATGGAAGTAAAAAGCCAAGCTTTCTCCCCACCCTCTGTGGGCCACACGTGCACTTGCACCCACCACACACACACACACACACACACACACACACACAGACACACAGACACATACGCACACACGTGCACACATGTACACACGGATACACACACACACACACACACTGCATATCTGAGCGCGCCCCTCGCACTGGGTCTCACCTTGCACCTTCTTCAGGATTTTATATGTGAAGAGATTTTTATATAGATTTTTTTCCTTTTTTTCCAAAACACTTTATACTTTAAAAAAAAAAAAAAAAAGCAATTCCTGGTGGCTGTGTGCCTCCAACCCTGGTCCCCCTCTGTCTCCAGCCACCCTCTGCTTGGGCTTCTGAGCTGGTGGCCCTGGCCCAGAGGTCTGGCGGAGGCCCAGGCAGCAGCCATGGCGGGGTGTCTCTACAGGGGAGAGGCGGGAGCCTGCCACCCTCTTCCTGCCCTACCTCCTACTAACACTTCCTGCCCCATTTGGACCCGTACCATGGGGCTCAGGACAGAGGGAGCTAGCAGCTGGCCTCCATGGCCCCACAGCCTCCTTCGAGGCTGTGCTGGGTGCAGAACCGCCAGAGCCACCCAAAAGGTGTTTCTCTTCTGCTCCCTGAACCTCTTAACTTAATAAAACGTTCCAGCAGCTCTGGTGTCCTAGATGGCTGGCAGAACAGGAATGGAGATTGGGGTTTCTTGAAGTGGCTTCCCCACTCACACCCTACCCACACCCCACCCTTCCTAAAGCAGCGGCCTCTAGGCTTCTGAGGGTGGGGCTGAAAATCCAAGGTCTCCCTTAGTACAGACTGTGACGCCCCCAGTGTGGCTTGCAGGCTAGTGGCAGCGGAAGCATGTGGGAAATAGCAAGTCCAGTCCCACCCCAACCTACTGAACCAGCGTCTGCATTTTAACAGGGTGCCCCAGTGATTCACGTGACCTTCAAAGTCTGAGGAGCCCTGGAGTAGGGCCCAGGGCCCAGGCCTGAGAGAGAGGCCTGGGGCTAAGACTAGCCCTGACCATGACCTTGGGCAAGTCACACCCCTCACTGAGCCTCAGTTTGCTTCTCCATCAAATGGGTGTTTTTCTTTCAGTCCCAGTCCTCTCCTGAGGCTTTTCCCAGAGGTCATGCCCAGCCCTGGGCAGGGGTGAGGGCAGGGTTGTGGCTGCCAGGCACAGGTCCAGCGGGCTGGGAGTCCTCACCATGGCTGGCTGTGCTGATTATGGTTGCATGGGGCTGGGAAGAGGTCCCATTTCTGAGCCACAGAAACAGGCCACATCCAGTAGGGGTCCTGGAAGGCTGTGAGAACCCAGAGGAGACCCTGACCCAGCCTGCAGGTAGAAGACTGCCTTTGGAGGCAGCTTTGAAAGATGACTCTTCCAGATGGAAGAATCAGGAAGGGCCTTCCCACGTGGAGGCACCAGCAGGAGCAAACGTCCCTGGTGTGTTCAGGCAAAGAGCCACAGGAGAGTGACCTCGTGGAGTGGGAAGAGATTGTTTCCCATTCCCTTGCCAGGGATTGGTTGAGGAATGGACAAGGCTTGCAGTTCACGCAAGCCAGTGAAATGCGAGGGGAAGTCTTGGGAGTGGGGTGGAGGAGGTCATCTGGGAAGGGTGTCCTTGGTCTTAAAAAGAGGCACAAGAGGCCGGGCGCGGTGGCTCTTGCCTATTATCCTAGCACTTTGGGAGGCCAAGGCAGGGGGATCACTTGAGGTCAGGAGTTCGAGACCAGCCTGGCCAACATGGTGAAACCCCGTCTCTACTAAAAATACAAAAAATTAGCCAGACGTGGTGCCAAGCACCTGTAATCCCAGCTACTCAGGAGGCTGAGGCAGGAGAATCACTTGAACCCAGGAGGCAGAAGTTGCAGTGAGCCAAGATCGCGCCACTGCACTCCAGCCTGTGTGACAAGGGCGAAACTCCATCTCAAAAAAAAAGGGGGAGGGTGGCGCAAGGAGAGGACACCTCTCTCCTGGCCCTGTCGCCATCTTCCCTCATCAATAGCTAAAAATGGCAAAGAAGAAAGAGCCAGGACCCCGTGCCATCAAATCCTCCGGCCTTGTGCTGCCCTGTCTCGGCACTGCTTGCCTTAGGAGATCAGGAGTGTTCCTAGCCACTGGGAGATGGGATGCCTGCCACTGGCAGCTCTGCCGTCCATCCTCACCATCCCACCGTCCCCCCAAGACAGCTCTCCATCCCATCCTCTGCCTCCCTTCTAGCCTCAACCTAACTCAGGGCTCCCCCGTCTCACACCTGGGTTGCAGGAACATCCTCTTCACCAACCCCCCTCCCATCCCTCCTCAGGGCTGCCTAGGGCAGCTACAAAAACCAGGCCAGCCTCTGAAAGGTGCTCCACATCTCATTAAAAACCGTGAAATCGCACTGCCCCACTATCAGAATAGCTCAGAGGAGAAGGTCTGCCAGTACCAAGTGCTGGTGGGGATACGGAGAAGAGCAGCTCCCAGGCGCTGCTGGTGCAAATGTGCTTTGTTGCACCCACGGCAGGAAACTGACCAGCTTCTCATCAAGTTAAATACGCATCTACCCTATGGCCTAGCATTTCCACTCTTGCTTACACATCCAGGAGAAATGAGTCCTTACATGCACAAAAGGATGAGTACCGTAATACTCACATCAGCAAATAAACAATACAGCTGTGTGTCAGTAGTAGAATGAATAAATTGTGGTCGATTCATACGTTAGAATACAGCAATTTAAAAACAACTGCTACACACAAAAATGTTGGTGAATCTTTCAGACACAATGTTGAGCAAAAATAGCCACAGAAGAGTGTAAGGCTGTACGATTTTATTTAGGTGAGGTTCAAGAACAGACAAAACACGGTGATAGTGGTCAGAAGAGCGGGTACCTCTGAGCTGAGGGCATTGACCAGCAGTGGGCAAAAGGGAACATTCTGATCCCAGAAATGTTCTATATCATGGTCTGGGTTGTGGTCACGTGGGTACATACAGATGTAAAAATTCACCATGCCGGCCAGGCATAATCCCAGCACTTTGGGAGGCCAAGGTAGGTGGATGACCTGAACTCAGGAGTTCCGAGACCAGCCTGGCCAACATGGCGAAACCCCGTCTCTACTAAAAATACAAATAATTAGCCGGGCTTGCTGGCGCATGCCTGTAATCCCAGCTACTCGGGAGGCTGAGGCAGGAAAATTGCTTGAACCCGGGAGGCGGAGGTTGTAGTGAGCCCAGATCGCGCCATTGCACTCCAGCCTGGATGACACAGCGAGACTTTGTTTAAAAAAAAAAAAAAATGCCACGCCTTGCACTTACGATTTGTTCATTTTTACTATGTGTGAATCACGTCTCAATGGTGCAGGGGGTGGGAAGAAGCCTGCTTTACAAAAGAATAAGCCAGGGTTCCAGCAGGCTCCCAGATGAGCCACCTGGGAAATGGCCCTGTCACCGCGGCCGCAGGGAATTTGACCAAAACCACGTGGTTTGGCTGCAAGTTCTGGTCAACTGCTTCAGGCAGCCAGGCATGTGCTCTGTAAAGAAAACAAACTGGTTTCAGATGAACCTGCCAGGTCAAACCCTACCTGCTGCCTCCAGCTGGCTAGGTGAGCCTTACTGAGTCACATCTCTCTCTGGGCTTTACTTCCTCTTCTGATAAATGGGAACAATAACGTCTACCCCAGAGGACTGTGTAGGTGTTAAATTACCAACTGTTTCAGTTATCTATTGCTGTGTCGCCAACAACCACATATGTAATGGCCTAGAATACCACTTTTTAAATATTCATGGTCCTGTGGGTTGACCTGGCTCAACCTCTTTGTGTCTTTTTTTGAGATAAAGTCCCGCTCTGCCGCCCAGGCTGGAGTGCAGTGGTGTGATCTCGGCTCACTGCAACCTCTGCCTCCTGGCTTCAAGTGATTTCCTGCCTCAGCCTCCCAAGTAGCTGGGATTACAGGTGCCCGCCACCACGCCCAGCTAATTATTTATGTTTTTAGTAGAAATGGGGTTTCACCACATTAGCCAGGCTGGTCTCAAACTCCTGACCTCAAGTAATCCACCCACCTTGGCCTCCCAAAGTGCTGGGATTACAGGCGTGAGCCACCGTGCCCGGCCTGGACATCTTTCTCCACATGGCCACTTCACGGGGCTAGCTTGGGCTCCTTACAGCATAGTGGACTTGGGACAATCTGACTTCCTACATTGTGGTTGACTTCCCCCTAGAAGAGGAGTTCTGGCCAGGTACAGTGGCTCACGACTGTATATCCAGCACTTCAGGAGCCCGAGGCAGGAGGATCACTTGAGGCCAAGAGTTAGTTCGAGACTAGCCTGGGCAACACAGCAAAACCTCGTATCTACAAGAAATTAAAAAAACAAAAAAACAATAGCCAAGCAGCCCGGGTGAGGTGGCTCACACCTGTAATCCCAGCACTTTGGGAGGCCGAGGCAGGCAGATCACCTGAGGTCAGGAGTTCGAGACCAACCTGATCAACATGGAGAAACCCCATCTCTACTAAAAATACAAAATTAACCAGGCATGGTGGCATGCACCTGTAATCCCAGCTACTCAGGAGGCTGAGGCAGGGAAATCACTTGAACCTGGGAGGCGGAGGTTGCAGTGAGCTGAGATTGCGCCACTGCACTCCAGCCTAGGGAACAGAGTGAGACTCCTTCTCAAAACAAAAGCCAGGCATGGTGATGCATGTGCCTGGAGTCCCAGCTACTTGGGAGGCTGAGGCAGGATGATTGCTTGAGCCCACGAGTTGGAGGTTGCAGTGAACTGTGATTGCTGCCACCGCACTCCAGCCTGGGCAACAGAGTGAGACCCATCTCTAAAAAAATAAAAACAATAAAAAGTAAAGGGAGCCTCAACAGCCCCAAGTGGAACCTACGAGCTTCTTATGAATTTGGCTTGGAGGTGCTGCAGCATCCCTTCCATCACTTTAGTCAAAAATGAGTCGCACAGCCAGCCCAGGTCCAATGGGAGAGGCGGCAGCAGGGCCTGAGCGCCGGAGGTGTGGTTCACTGGCAGCCATCTTTTTCCTCTGTTTCTGCTTCAGCTACACCCCAGCTCCTCTTTAGTCCCCTATGTGGAATTCTCATTTTCTTCCCAGCCCTCTGATGTGCTTCCCTGGAGTCTGTCCTCAGCAATCCTCTGTTCTCTCGTGAAGACTTATTTATTTACTTACTTAGAGACGGAGTCTCACTCTGTCTCCCAGTCTGGAATGCAATGGCACAATCGGCTCACTGCAACATCCACCACCCAGGTTCAAGGGATTCTCCTGCCTCAGCCTCCTGGGTAGCTGGGACTACAGGCAGCCGTCACCACACCTGGCTAATTGTTGTATTTTTAGTAGAGACAGGGTTTTACCATGTTGGCCAGGCTGGTCTCGAACTCCTGACCTCAAGTGATCCCCCTGCCTCGGCCTCCCAAAGTGCTGGGGTTACAGGCGTGAGCCACCATGCCCGGCCTCTTGTGAAAACTTGATCTCTCATCCTTGGCTTTTGTTACTGTCTGTGCTAACCATCCACATCTGTCTCCAGCCCAGACCTTTTCCATGAACTCCTAAGACCTGGTCAGCCTCAGTCTTAAGGCTGCCATCAAGGCCCTGTCCTCCCTGCAGCCCGTTCCTGTTCAGTGTATTCTGCCTCGTGAGTCAGCCTCTGGAGTAGGCCCCGGGGATGCAACATGGAACCAAGCATTCTCCCTTCAGGAGGGAGGTGAAATTGGAATCAGGTGATTAATTACAAGAAGCCACAGCACAGAGGGTGTAGCAGGCCCAGCCTGGAAGGTCAGGGGAGGCTTCTTGGAAGAGGAGATGCTGGAACCGAGCAGGATAGAGCTAGGCTGAGAGGGGGAGAGAGTGCCAGGTCCAGTGAGCGTCAGAAGCTCAGCAGAGTTCAAAGGCTCTGAAATGGCTGCAGCTTGTGTGTAGAGGGATTCGAGATGAGCCTGCGGGGACAGGCTGGAGCTGGAATCTGATTTTGCAAGGACAGTGGGGGTCATGTGTCCAAGCTCTAGCTTTGTGCTTAACCCAGTGGGAGGCTATTGGGGAATTTTATGTGAGCAGTGCCTTGGCTCAGAACAGCGATCTTGGTCATCCTCAGCACATGGGGGCTATGGAAGGCCCTAAGTTGACCTAGGGTTTGGTGCAGTGGGAGAGAAGAACAGAGGATGAAACCCCGAGGAAGGGCAGAAGCCCGTAAAGCAACTGAGAGGTTCCCAGCAGCCCAAGCGAGCGAATGTTTCAGAGTGATGGAGCGGGAAGCGCCCAGGCTCTGGTGTCAGATGGCCCTCCGTCCGTCCCCCTGCTCTCAGCTCTGCAACCCGGGCAAGTTACATGACCTCTCTGTGCCTCCGTTTCCTCATCTGTAAAGCAGGGATAGTAGTACCTCCCTCCCAGAAGTATTATGAAGATGAGAAATGCGCTCATGTGTATGAAGTGCTGAGAGGGTGCCTGGGACTGAGTTAACAAGGTACATGTGAGCTGTTAAGACTATTGTGATGTGCTGCTGTTTGGGTGTTGTGAGGATTGGATGAAAAGGTGCATGTTGCCAGACGCGGTGGTTCACGCCTGTAATCCCAGCACTTTGGGAGGAAGATGCAGGTGGACCACCTGAGGCCAGGAGTTCGAGACCAGCCTGGCCAACGTGGTGAAACCCCGTCTCTACTAAAAACACAAAACCTAGCCAGGTGTGGTGGCGCACGCCCGTGATCCCAGCAACTCAGGAGGCTGAGGCAGGAGAATCCCTTGAACCCAGGAGGGGGAGGTTGCAGTGAGCTGAGATCGTGCCACTGCACTCTAGTCTGGGCAGCACAGCGAGACTCTGTCTAAAAAAAAAAAAAAGCGGGGGGTGGCATGTCAAAAATGTGGCCCAGGGCCGGGATTAGGGAGGATTTAGAGCTGCTTGCTTTATTTATTTATTTATTTATTTATTTATTTATTTATTTATTTATTTATTTTGAGACAGAGTCTTGCTCTGTCACCCAGGCTGGAGTTCAGTGGCGCAATCTCTGCTCACTGCAAGCTCCGCCTCCCGGGTTCACGCCGTTCCCCTGCCTCAGCCTCCCGAGTAGCTGGGACTACAGGCGCCTGCCACCAAGCCCGGCTAATTTTTTGTATTTTTTAGTAGAGACAGTGTTTCACCGTGTTAGCCAGGATGCTCTCAATCTGACCTCGTGATCCGCCCGCCTCGGCCTCCCAAAGTGCTGGGATTACCGGCGTGAGCCACCGCGCCCAGCCTAGAGCTGCTTTATTTTTATTTTATTTTAATTTTTTTTGAGACGGCGTTTCACTCTGTCACCACACAGGAGTGCAGTGGCACAATCTCGGCTCACTGCAACCTCTGCTTCCTGGGTTCAAGCAATTCTCTTGCCTCAGCCTTCTGAGTAGCTGGGATTACAGGCACGCACCACCATGCCCGGCTAATTTTTGTATTTTTAGTAGAGACCGGGTTTCTCCATGTTGGCCAGGATGGTCTCAATCTCCTGACCTTGTGATCCGCCTGCCTTGGCCTCCCAAAGTGCTGGGATTACAGGCTTGAGCCACGGCGCCTGGTCTGGAGCTGCTTTAGTATTAGTTGGATGTTGCTGCCCTCAAGGTCCCCAGGAGATCCGGCTCCAGTTGGCCAAGCCCCAGTTCCATGGCCTGTGAGAATCCCGACCCGTCCCTCCTAGGTTGGCAGGTGCCCACAGGTCACTTTTCAGAGCTTCCTTTCTGTTGGGGTTGGGGAAGATGTGCTGCGAGGCACAGAGCCAGGCCCTCTGGTGGTTCCACAGTAGATCCGCTGGCAGAATTGTGCTAGGAAAGAGCTCTCAACATCTTGCCCCAGCACCACCCAGACCCCCAGCAGGTCAAGGGCACCTGGCAGTCCAGGAGGGTTTGACCTGGCCACTGGGTCCTGCCCGACTTCCCCTACCCCCACCAAGCCCTGGCTGGTTCCCCTTCCCTCTCTCGGCCGCTGCTGTTCCTGGGCCCCATGCCCCTGCCCTGCTTGCCTCCTCCCTCATTCCCAGACAGGTTTTCCCTCCTGTCCAATCCACACACCCACAGCGGGGGATTTCTAAAACTGGGAGCGGCCATGTTGCTCCCCTCTGTGAATCTCTGCCCTGACTCCCTGTTCCCTTGGGATGGGGTTCTGGCATGCAAGCCCCTCTGTCTGCCGTGGTCTCCTTTCTCTACCCCTTTGGATCCGCTAGGCTCCAGGCTTCCACTGCACGGAGCAGTAGCGCACTCTTCCATCCTCACTGCCGTCCCCCTGCATGCACTTTCCACTCCCAGCCCCTCCCCGGCAGACCCCCTAAGACTCAGGACTCAGATCAGTCATCATCTGCCACCTCCAGGAAGCCCCCCAAGATCCCCTAGATGGGGATGGAAGCCTGCTCTGGATCCCACAGTACTTGGAACTTGACATGTTTTTTCCTTATGGCTCCCCCAGACTGTGAGCCCCCTGAGGCCAGGGACCAGCTCTGAATCGCTTCTGTGTCCCCACTGCCCAGTACAGAGCACTGGTGTCTGTCTCCGAGGGATGAGTGTTTGTTGATTGACGGACTGACTGACTGGAAGTGAATGACCACTGAGTCAGTCACCCTCAAGGCAGGAAATAGCCACAGCCTCAGCTCCACACCAAATGGCAAGGGACCAGATGTCCCCATAAACCCACTGGGAAGCCCGGCAGCCGTCCTGAAGGGCTGGAGGCTAATGGAGGTTTCCGGTACACGAAAGGGCCAGGATTTAACTGTGAGTCACCCTTGTCATCCCGGCGTCCCACAGTACTTTACGAGGGGACTTGACTTTGATGGAGCTTCCGCCACGAGCAAACATGATGAACGGCAAACCTTTAATGCTCGCAACAACACCTTGAAGTACTTATTGCTCTCCCCTTGTTATAGGAGGAAACTGAGGCTCAGAGAAGGACATGACTTACCCAAGGTCAATAATTTAGTGACTCACATCCGAGCAGGTCTGACTCTAGAGCCCAAATCCCCTCCCTACCTAGGGTGCCTCCCTAAAAGTCACGAAGCCTTTTTTTTTTTTGCTGAGCACTTACTGTGGGCTGGACCCTGGAACAAACATTTTCACTCACAAGCTCCTTTAATTCCCAGAACAGCCTGATGAGGGAGGTAGCACAGTTGTCCCCGGTAGGGGGCCGGGACTCAGCAGCACAATGAGGTGACGGCCAGGTCAGTTGGTCTCACAGCCCAGGTGGCCTCCTGAGCTGACCCAGGTCTTCTCATTGGAGGCTGCCTGGGGACCAGGTGCCTTGGTTCCCCCTGCTTGTGGTAGGCATTGGGGGAGGTCTGGGTGTACCTTGGTGAGGCTGACTTGAATGAGCCTCATGTGGAGGCCACATGAGGAGGCCTCAATGTGGAGCCACTTCCACACTGCTGCCTCAGTTTCCTAGTAAAGCAGGGCAACAGCTTATTCCCAAAGGGCCCAGAAAGGCTAGATCCCCCTGCAAAGGGCAGGAGGCGTTTCGGGGTGCCTGTGTGATTGGCTGGCCCTTGCCCTGTCACCACCCCGCAGCTCCACCTTCATCGCCTGCGTCCCGGGGACTGCCAACCGCGCTTTCTTTCCAGAGCCCCTGAGCTCTTGCATGGGCTGCTCCCAGCCCCTCCCTAGCTCTGGCCATCCTGGCCCCAGTTGGTCTCCCCGCCATGAGCTCCCTTGTGGCTTCTCAAGGCCAAGACTCAACCAGGCCGGCGGAGTGGGAGGAACCTGCTTCTTCAAGTTGGTCACCTGGCTTGGCCATCCACTGGCCCTGGGACCTTGACTGTGGCATTTCCAGAGCCACATCCCAGATGCTCCCATGTGGCTGTGTCCACTCTCGGGTGGGGCAGCTGACTGCACTGGCCAAATGTGTCTGAAAGGTGACAGATGGTGGACTTGCCCCACCAGCAGTGTGACATGGATGCACTGATGTGGGGGTGGGAGGCGCTACAGGGAGAACTTCACAGGGGCCTGGCTGGCCCTGACCCTTTGGACTCCAGCAGATTCTCACCATCTCCTGAGGAAGACAGGTTTATAGGTGTCCCTGGCCCCCACCCCAGGGTGTCCCCACAACCCAACTCCAATCTCATGCAGTCTCTCCCCTCTTCACTCATTCAGTTGCTGAAAGTCTGTGTCATCTACTAGCTGTGACCTCAACTGTGGCATCTCCAGAGCCACATTCCAGCTGCTCCCACGTGGCTGTGTCCTCACTCAAGAGCAGGACAGCTGGCTGCACTGGCCAAGTGTGTCTGAAAGTTGACAGGAACATTCATTCCAGCATTAGAAGGAAGTGGGCCAGGTGTGGTGGCTCACACCTGTAATCCCAGTACTTTGGGAGGCCGAGACGGGGGATCACCTGATGTCAGGAGTTTGAGACGAGCCTGGCCAACATGGTGAAACCCCGTCTCTACTAAAAATACAAAAATTAGCCAGGCGTGGTGGCAAGTAGTGCCTGTAATCCCAGCTACTTGGGAGGCTGAGGCACGAAAATCGCTTGAACCCGGGAAGCAGAGGTTGCAGTGAGCCTAGATCATGCCATTGAACTCCGGCCTGGGTGACAAGAGCAAAACTCTGTATCAAAAAAAAAAAAAAAAAAAGGAAACTGTGTCCTGTGCAGATTTGCATCTGTGTTTATTCATGCTTAAACCTCTCCAGAAGGATTTGCACACATACATTTGTGCACACACACCCCCAGGGTGAGGGAACCCAGTGTGAAGGGGCCCTGGACACACAAGACCCTGGGAATAGTGGTTGCCTCCTCGGGGAGGGAGCCAGAAGGCCAGGGGACAGGGGTGGTGGGACACATTTCAGTGTTAAATGCTTTCATATGTTCTGCACTATTTCCCATGTGCATGTGATATTTATTCCAAAATAAAGTTTTAAAAAATACTAAAATAGTCCTGAACGGAGCATGGTAGGGGAGTGGCAGGGCTGGCACCAAACTCAGGGCTCACTGGCTGGCTCTGCCACACACCTGCTTCAATCAATGATCTTCCCTGGAAATTCACTTCCTCACCTGAGATGAGATGAAGAAATGGGATTAAGTGAGGCCCTGAGCGTGGCCAGGCCCACTGAGTCTGAGTAGCAGCTGTTATTCCTGTTAATATCCTGGTCAAGCCTGTTCCAGGCACCTGAGTGACACAGACATGAAGGGACACGCCCTGTCCCTGCGCTCACCCTGCAAGGGCAAGGGGAGAGACAGCAACACCAGGGAGAGCTGATGCAACTGACCCGGTGCAACTAACTCGGCCAGAGGAGCCAGGGAAGGCTGCACAGGACAGGTGACGCCTGCACCGAGGCTTCAAAGATAAATAGGTGTAATCGGGGGACCAAAGGAGAGAGGGTGCTCCAGGCTGGGGAAGCAGAGCCTGCCAAGACTGTAAAAAACTCATGCTGGGCACACCCACGTCCACAGCATGTAAACAGAGCCATATATGCACTCATGAACACCTGTGCTCACAGCTGCCCCATTCTATACACTCCTGCTCACATACACAGCCCATGTGCATGCCTGTATATGCCCCCCATGTGCACAGCAGACCGCCTGCCAGTTACCTGTGTGACCCACTTATGTCTCTCAACCTCTCTGGGCCTCAGTTCGCTCACCTCTTACATGTGGAAAATGACAGGGACATGGTGAGTGTTATATGAGACAGTACCTGTGGAGCACTAAGGGCAATGTCCAGTAAATGTTCGCTGTATGATCCTTTTGTCGTTCATAAGCATGACGATTGGGCTTTCATGCTCATGCATGAGATGGGCCTCCCTTCAGTCTTGTTACAGGCCGGCTCTGTGGCTCATGCCTGTAATCCCAGCACTTTGGGAGTCCAAGGTGGGAGGATTGCTTGAGGCCAGGAGTTCAAGACCAGCCTGGGCAACACCGTGAGATCTCATTTGTAGAAAATGTTTGTTTGTTTGTTTGTTTGTTTTTAATTAGATGGGTGCAGTGGTGTAGCTGTGGTCTCAGCTACTAGAAAGGCTGAGGTGAGGCCAGGCGCGGTGGCTCACGCCTGTAATCCCAGCACTTTGGGAGGCCAAGGTGGGCGAATGACAAGGTCAGGAGTTTGAGACCAGCCTGGCCAACATGGTGAAACCCCACCTCTACTAAAAATACAAAAAATTAGCCGTGCGTGGTGGTGGGCACGTGTAATCCCAGCTACTAGGGAAGCTGAGGCAGGAGAATCACTTGAACTCAGGTATAGTGTCTCACGCCTGTAATCCCAGCACTTTGGGATGCTGAGGTGGGCGGGTCGCTTGAGCCCAGGAGTTTGAGACCAGCCTGGGCAACATGGCAAAACCCAGTCTCTACAAAAAAAAATTACAGTCCCAGTCCCAGTCCCTCTCCCTCTCCCTCTCGGCCTCCCTCTCCCTCTCGGCCTCCCTCTCCCTCTCGGTCTCCCTCTCCCTCTCGGTCTCCCTCTCCCTCTCTTTCCACGGTCTCCCTCTGATGCCGAGCCAAAGCTGGACGGTACTGCTGCCATCTCGGCTCACTGCAACCTCCCTGCCTGATTCTCCTGCCTCAGCCTGCCGAGTGCCTGCGATTGCAGGCGCGCGCCGCCACGCCTGACTGGTTTTCGTATTTTTTTGGTGGAGACGGGGTTTCGCTGTGTTGGCCGGGCTGGTCTCCAGCTCCTAACCGCGAGTGATCCGCCAGCCTCGGCCTCCCGAGGTGCCGGGATTGCAGACGGAGTCTCGTTCACTCAGTGCTCAATGGTGCCCAGGCTGGAGTGCAGTGGCGTGATCTCGGCTCTCTACAACCTCCAACTCCCAGCCGCCTGCCTTGGCCTCCCAAAGTGCCGAGAGTGCAGCCTCTGCCTGGCCGCCCATCGTCTGGGACGTGAGGAGCCCCTCTGCCTGGCTGCCCAGTCTGGAAAGTAAGGAGCGTCTCTGCCTGGCCGCCATCCCATCTGGGAAGTGAGGAGCGCCTCTTCCCGGCCGCCATCCCATCTAGGAAGTGAGGAGCGTCTCTGCCCGGCCGCCCATCGTCTGCGATGTGGGGAGCGCCTCTGCCCCAACGCCCCGTCTGGGATGTGAGGAGCGCCTCTGCCCGGCCACGACCCCGTCTGGGAGGTGAGGAGCGTCTCTGCCCAGCCGCCCCATCTGAGAAGTGAGGAGACCCTCCGCCCGGCAGCCGCCCCGTCCGGGAGGGAGGTGGGGGGGTCAGCCCCCCGCCCGGCCAGCCGCCCCGTCCGGGAGGTGAGGGGCGCCTCTGCCCAGCCGCCCCTACTGGGAAGTGAGGAGCCCCTCTGCCCGGCCAGCACCCCGTCTGGGAGGTGTACCCAACAGCTCATTGAGAACGGGCCATGATGACAATGGCGGTTTTGTGGAATAGAAAGGGGGGAAAGGTGGGGAAAAGATTGAGAAATCGGATGGTTGCTGTGTCTGTGTAGAAAGAAGTAGACAGGGGAGACTTTTCATTTTGTTCTGTACTAAGAAAAATTCTTCTGCCTTGGGATCCTGTTGATCTGTGACCTTACCCCAAACCCTGTGCTCTCTGAAACATGTGCTGTGTCCACTCAGGGTTAAATGGATTAAGGGCGGTGCAAGATGTGCTTTGTTAAACAGATGCTTGAAGGCAGCATGCTCGTTAAGAGTCATCACCACTCCCTAATCTCAAGTACCCAGGGACACAAACACTGCAGAAGGCCAAAGGGTCCTCTGTCTAGGAAAACCAGAGACCCTTGTTCACATGTTTATCTGCTGACCTTCCCTCCACTATTGTCCTATGACCCTGCCAAATCCCCCTCTGCGAGAAACACCCAAGAATGATCAATTAAAAAAAAAATTACAAAAATTAGCCAGGCATGGTGGCTTGTAGTCCCAGCTACTCGGGAGGCTGAGGTGGGAGGATCACCTGAATCGGGAGGTTGAGGCTGTGGCGAGCTATGACTGCACCACTGCACTCCAGCCTGGGAGACACAGTGAGACCCTGTCTCAAAAAAAGAAAAAAAGTTTTTGGCCTGCCGGGTGTGGTGGCTCACACCTGTAATCCCAGCACTTTGGGAGGCTGAGGCGGGCGGATCACCTGCGAGACCACTCTGGCCAACATAGTGAAACCCCATCTCTACTAAAAATACAAAAAATTAGCTGGGCATGGTGGCGGTGGCGGGCGCCTGTAGTCCCAGCTACTCGGGAGGCTGAGGCAGGAGAATCGCTTGAACCCGGGAGGCAGAGGTTGCAGTGAGCCGAGATCGTGCCATTGCACTCCAGCCTGGGCAACAAGAGCAAAATGCCATCTCAAAGAAAAAAAAAAAAGAGCTTTTGGTCTTTCAAACAAACTACATTAAGAAGAGATTCCTACATTTTAAAAACTTAGGGCTCCGAGGTCAGGAGATCGAGACCATCCTGGCTAACACGGTGAAACCCCGTCTCTACTAAAAATACAAAAAAAAATTAGCCTGGCGTGATGGCGGGTGCCTGTAGTCCCAGCTACTTGGGAGGCTGAGGGAGGAGAATGGCGTGAACTCGGGAACAGAGGTTGCGGTGAGCCGAGATCACGCCACTGCACTCCAGCCTGGGCGACAGAGCGAGACTCTGTCTCAAAAAAAAAAAAAAAAAAAAAAAGTAGAGCTGAAGCCTAGGCAATATAGTGAGACCCTGTCTCCACAAAAAAAAAAAAAAAAAAAAAAAAAAAAAAATAGAAAAAATTAGCTGGGTATGGTGGCAGGCCTGTGGTTCCACGTACTGGGGAGGCTGAGGTGGGAGGACTGTTTGAGCCTGGGAAGTTGAAGCTGCAGTGAGTCGTGATTGTGCCACTGCACTCCAGCCTGGGCAACACAGAGAGACCTTGTTTCAAAACAAACAAACAAAGGAACAAACAAACGAACTTAAGACTGGACACAGTGGCTGCTGCCTATAATCCCAATACTTTGGGTAGCTGAGACAGGAGGATTGCTCGAGCCAGAAGTTCAAGGTTACACTGAGCACGTGAACGTTACATGCACCACCGCATTCCAGCCTGGGCAATAGAGCGAGACCCTGTCTCAAAAATATTATTAATAAATTAAAAATAGGCCAGGCGCGGTGGCTCACACCTGTAATCCCAGCACTTTGGGAGGCCGAGGTGGGTGGATCACCTGAGGTCAGGAGTTCAAGACCAGCCTGGCCAACAGGGTGAAACCCCATCTCTACTAAAAATACAAAAAAAATCAACTGGGCATGGTGGCGGGCGCCTATAATCCCAGCTACTTGGGAGGCTGAGTCAGGAGAATCACTTGAAGCCAGGAGGTGGAAGTTGCAGTGAGCCGAGATGGTGCCACTGCACTCCAGCCTGGGCAACAAGAGTCAAACTTGGCCGGGCGTGGTGGCTTACGCCTGTAATCCCAGCACTTTGGGAGGCCGAGGCAGGTGGATCATGAGGTCAGGAGATCGAGACCATCCTGGCTAACAGGGTGAAACCCTGTCTCTACTAAAAATACAAAAAATTAGCTGGGCATGGTGGCGGGCACCTGTAGTCCCAGCTACTCAGGAAACTGAGGCAGGAGAATGGCGTGAACCCGGGAGGTGGAGCTTGCACGGAGCCGAGATCGCACCACTGCACTCTAGCCTGGGCGACAGAGCGAAACTCTGTCTCAAAAAAAAAAAAAAAGAGTGAAACTCCGTCTCAAAAAAATAATTAATTACAAATAAATTTTTAAAAATTAAACAGTAAAAACTCAAGTAAAGTCACGTGGAACTGCCAATCAAAGCTTTGGATCAGTGGAAGAAAATCCATTGCTCCCACACTGAATGGATATAAAGCTTAGCCAAAAACAAAGATACTTAACATGGTCATGAACCTCTGCTGCCTTGTTTTGGGTAAACACGTCATTTCTGTCCAGGTGTCTGAAATACCAAGGATGATACAGCTAATACTTAACTGCTAATACTAAAACAGCTAATACTTAAACTGCACTTACTTTGTGTCAGGAATTCCATTTTTTTGTTTTTTTTGAGACGGAGATCTGTCTCCCAGGCTGGAATGCAGTGGCGCGATCTCGGCTCATTGCAACCTCCGCCTCCCGGGTTCAAGTGATTCTCCTGCCTCAGCCTCCCGAGTACCTGGGATTACAGGCACGTGCCACCATGCCCGGCTGATTTTTGTATTTTTAGTAAAGACAGGATTTCACCATGTTGGCCAGGCTGGTCTCGAACTCCTGACCACAGGTGATATACCCCCCACTCATCCTCCCAAAGTGCCAAGACTACAAGCATGAGCCACTATGCCCGGCCTGTGTCAGGAACTTCTAAGTGAGATATATAATGATATATAACTCATATGATATCTATCATTTGCTACATACAGAGTATGTACACACGTATGTATTTATAACATACATATCCATTTAGTCCTCAAGAAAACTCTATCAGGCAAATGCCATTATTATCGCCAATTACTATAATGCCCAGGGGAGGAAACTGAGGCACAGAAGGGTCATTATTATTTTTGCCAAGACCCTCATACTTATGACTTGGAAGGGCTGGGATTTGAAACCATACAACCTGGACCTCCAGTACTTGGGCCTCACCACTATGCTAGACTTTGGGACTTCTAGCAGATAGAAGAAGTCCATCCAAACCTTCAGTTTACAGGATCACCCACATGGCCCAGAGAGGATTAGCAAATGCCCTCAGGTCACACAGCAGATTTGGGTGCTTCTCCTACCAGCCCACATTGCCTCCTAAGGTATGTTTAACATCTTTAATGTCTATGGGGGAAGGGCCCTAAACGTTTCTGAAGAAACCCACTCCTCCCTGCAAGCAGCGCTGTGTGCTCCACCCCCAGCCAGCACCAAAGCATATGTGAATACCTGCAGGGACTGATGCCAGCTGCATTTGGGCCCCAGTTGGGCATGGCCCTCACCAGAGAGCAGTCCCTGTTGTCCCTGGTGCTTGTCACAGCACCAGTTAGTGCATTGAGAGTATGGTTCATGGAGGAGAAAATATTTTCCCAGCCGGGCATGGTGGCTCCCACCTGTAATCCCAGCACTTTGGGAGGCCAAGGCAGGTGGATCACTTGAGGTCAGGAATTCAAGACCAGCCTGGCCAACACAGTGAAACCGCATCTCTACAAAAATACAAAAATACAAAAATTATCCGAGCATGATGGCAGGTGAAACCCCCGTCTCTACGAAAAATACAAAAAATTAGCCAGGCGTGGTGGCGCGTGCCTGTAAGTCCTAACTACTCGGCAGGCAAAGGTGGGAGAATCTCCTGAGCCAGGGAGATAGAGGCTGCAGTGAGCCAAGCCACTGCACTCCAGTCTGGGCAACTGGAGTGAGAGAGACCCTGTCTCAAAAAAAAAAAAAAAAAAAAGTAATACACATGGCCAGCCGCAGTGGCTCACGCCTGTAATCCCAGCACTTTGGGAGGCCGAGGCTGGCAGATCACCTGAGGTCAGGAGTTCAACACCAGCCTGGCCAACATGGTGAAACCCCTCTCTACTAAAAATACAAAAATTAGCCAGGCGTGGTGGCAAGTAGTGCCTGTAATCCCAGCTACTTGGGAGGCTGAGGCACGAGAATCACTTGAACCAGGAGGCGGAGGTTGCAGTGAGCCGAGATCGTGCCACTGCACTCCAGCCTGGGCGACAGAGTGAGACGCAGTCTCAAAAAAAAAAAAAAAAAAAGACACGCTTATTGTTTATAAACTAAAACAGTATAGAAGTGTATAAACTAGGCTGGGCGCGGTGGCTCACGCTTGTAATCTCAGCACTTTGGGAGGCCGAGGCAGGCGGATCACGAGGTCAGGAGATCGAGACCACGGTGAAACCCTGTCTCTACTAAAAATACAAAAAATTAGCCGGGCGTGGTGGTGGGCGCCTGTAGTCCCAGCTACTCGGAGAGGTTGAGGCAGGAGAACGGCGTGAACCCGGGAGGCGGAGCTTGCAGTGAGCCGAGATTGCGCCACTGCACTCCAGCCTGGGCGACAGAGTAAGACTCTGTCTCAAAAAAAAAAACAAAAAAAAAACCAAACAAACAAACAAAAAGAAGTGTATAAAGTAAAAAATAACAGTGCACTGTGACCCAAATCCATTTCTCAGAGAAAATCATTACTATGAACATGGAGTGTCCACACATGTACACGCACTCACGGGCCACTTCACCAGCTTGGAGAACAACCCTAGCCACAGTGCTTGCGGTTGCTTTTTTAACCAATCTCTCCTGCATCCTCATTCATTTATTGTTAAGAAGCCCAGCATCTCCCTCTTGAGGTCTCTTCCAGAATAGTCTGGGAATCCCAAGGACTCACTCTGTCCAAAGAAGGCCAGTCCTACTCTGCAAGGCCTAGTGGTGCACTGCGTGGGCCCCGAGGCAGTCCTCTCAGTTCACTCCAGGAGCTCAGCTCCCTGAAAGGAAAATGATGCCAAGCCAGGCGCAGTGGCTCACACCTTTAATCTTAGCAATTTGGGAGGCTGAGGCAGGTGGATCACTTGAGGTCAGAAGTTCAAGACCAGCCTGGCCAATATGGTGAAACCCCATCTCTACTAAAAATACAAAACTTAGGCCGGGCACAGTGGCTCACACCTGTAATCCCAGCACTTTGGGAGGCCGACGTGGGCGGATCACCTGAGGTCGGGAGTTCAAGACCAGCCTGACCAACATGGTGAAACCCCATCTCTACTAAAAATACAAAAATTAGCCAGGCGTGGTGGTGCATGCCTGTAATCCCAGCTACTTGGGAGGCTGAGGCAGGAGAATCGCTTGAACCTGGGAGGCAGAGGTTGCAGTGAGCCGCGATCGAGATTGCGCCATTGCACTCCAGCCTGGATGACAGATCCAGACTCTATCTCAAAAAAAAAAAAAAAAAAAAAAAAAGAAGAGGAAAGAAAGAAAAAGGAAATGACGCCAGAGTGGGCAGGTCCAACAGGACTTTCAGCCCAAACCACACATGGCACCTGTGTCCCTCACCAATGCCTGGCCTCTGGCACTGAGCTTGGGTCACCTGTCCACATCTACTTCCCATGGAGTGAGTTATTTCCTTTGAGGCATGAGTGTCCTCTCTGCCAGCTGGACAGGACTGTCCTGATGGGTCAGATAGCAGCTAATCCTATCAGGAGAGAGGAACTGGGGCCCAATCTCATTTCTCTTGGCGGTCCCCAGACTAGCCACAAATTTGCCCACCTCCTGCCAGGTTAAGAGAAAGGCAGTTTTGAGAGTTGATTAAGAGCATGGAGTTTCCTGTAATCCCAGAACTTTGGGAGGCCAAGCTGGGAGGACCACTTGAGGCCAGGAGTTCAAGACCAGCCTGGGCAATATAGTGAGGCCCCATCTCTACAGAAATTTTAAAAATTAGCTGAACGTGGTGATGCGCACCTGTGGTCCCAGCTACTTGGGAGGCTGAAGCAGGAGGATCACTTGAGCCCAGGAGTTCAAGGTTGCAGTGAGCCATGATTTGTGTTTCAGCCTTAGTGACAGAGTGACACCCTGTGTCACAAACAAATAAACAACAACAACAACAAAAGGCCAGGCTTGGTGGTTCACACTTGTAATCTCAGCACTTTGGGAGATAGAGGCGGGTGGATCACCTGAGGTGAGGAGTTCGGAACCAGCCTGGCCAATATGGTGAAACCCCGTCTCTACTAAAAATACAAAAATTAGCTGGGCGTGGTGGTGGGTGCCTGTAATCCCAGCTACTTGGGAGGCTGAGACAGGAGGATCACTTGAACGTGGGAAGTGGAGGTTGCAGTGGGCTGAGACTGCACCATTGTACTCCAGCCTGGGCAACAAGAGCGAAACTCCGTCTCCAAAAAAAAAAAAACAAAACAAAAAAAAGAGCATGGAATTGGACTGCTTTAGGTAAGTTCCTTCCCCACCTGTCAAATGAAGTGATAACAACAGCAAAAGACCGAATGTTAATACCTACGGATAGATCACTTAGCACAGTGTGGGCAGATAGTAACTGCTCAATAAATGGGAACTACTGTTACATACCTGTATGTAGTTCTCTAATATCCCTATTTTATAAAAATGAGGTCCCCCCATATTTTTCTTAGCTTCCTTTTGTCAATTAATATATCATAGACATTTTTCCAGGTCTGCACATGTAGCCTCCTCTATGTGAGAGCCGCATGGCCTTCCAAAGGACGCCGTCCATGCAAGAGGCTAAACTATGTCTGTGGGTTCAAAACCCTCAGTCTGTGCCATGGTGCTTTAAAACTTGGAAATGGCTCATACCTGTAATCCCAACACTTTGGGAGGCCAAGGTGGGAGGATCGCTTGAGCCCAAGAGTTTGAGACAAACCTGGGCAACATGTGAAACACTGTCTCTACAGAAAATACCAAAATTAGTATTTTTGGTGTGGTGGCATGTGCCTGTAGTCCCAGCTATTTGGGAGGCTGAGGTAAGAGGATCGATTGAGCCCTGGAGTTCAAAGCTGCAATAGCCATAATTGCACTCCAGCCTGGGCTACAGAGAAGACCTGTCTTAAGAAACACAAACAGGCTGGGCGCGGTGGCTCACGCCTGTAATCCCAGCACTTTGGGAGGCCCAGGCGAGGGGATCACGAGGTCAGTAGATCGAGACCATCTTGCACTCCAGCCTGGGAGACAGCGAGACTCCATCTCAGAAAAAAAAAAAAAAAGAAAAAGAAACACAAACAAAAACAAACTTGGAAATTAGTTAAGGTTTAGTTCAGTTAGATCAGTTAAAGTTTAACTGTTAAACTGTCACCTGCATTTTTATTTCTTTGTCTGGAAATGTGTGTTTGTCTTTCTGTTCATTTGACTTCTAACCCACATGGGATGGGTTTTCCTAACTTGGGAGAAGCAGGTGAGAGGTCAGCCTCCACAGGGTGAGGCTGTCAAGGAGGAGGGGGGAACCAGGACAGCCAGTGGCCAGGGCAGGACAAAAGAAGGCCGGCCATCTTTGTTTTGTTTTGTTTTGTTTTGTTTTGTTTTGTTTTGTTTTGTTACGAGGCAGAGTCTTGCTGTGCCTCACCCAGGCTGGAGTGCAATAATGAGATCACAGCTCATTGCAGCCTCCATCTCCCGGGTTCAAGTGATTCTCCTATCTCAGTTTCCCGAGTAGCTGGGGCTACAGGCGTGCGTGTGCCATCACACCTGGCTAATTTTGTATTTTTAAAAATTATTTTATTTTATTTTATTTTATTTTATTTTGAAACGGAGTCTCGCTCTGTCACCCAGTCTGGAGTTCAGTGGCACGATCTCGGCTCAGTGCAAGCTCCGCCTCCCGGGTTCATGCCATTCTCCTGCCTCAGCCTCCTGAGTAGCTGGGACTATAACCGCCTGCCACGACGCCCAGCTAATTGTTTTGTATTTTTAGTAGAGACGGGGTTTCACCTTGTTAGCCAGGATGGTCTCGATCTACTGACCTCGTGATCCACCCGTCTTAGCCTCCCAAAGTGCTGGGATTACAGGCGTGAGCCACCGCGCCCGGCCTATTTTGTATATTTTTAGTAGAGATGGGGTTTCACCATGTCTGCTGGGCTGGTCTCGAACTCCTGACCTCAGGTGATCGTCTACCTTGGTCTCCCAAAGTGCTGGGATTACAGGCGTGAGCCACTGTGCCCGCCTTTTTTTTTTTCTTCTTTTTGTTGTTGTTGGTTTTATTTATTTATTTGGACAGAGTCTCACTCTGTTGTCTGGGCTGGAGTGCAGTGGTGCAATCTCAGCTCACTGTAACCTCTGCCTCCCAGGTTCAAACGATTCTCCTGCCTCAGCTTCCAGGGTAGCTGGGATTACAGGCGCCCACCACCACACCCAGCTTATTTTTGTGTTTTTGGTAGAGACAGGGTTTCACCATATTGACCAAGCTGGTCTCAAACTCCTGATCTCAAGTGATCTGCCCACCTCGGCCTCCCAAAGTGCTGGGATTACAGGCGTGAGCCACCGTGCCGGGCCATGCGCCATCTTTGTTTCTGTTCCAGATGCCTGGGAGTCCTTCCATCTCTTCCCTCACCCCCCACAGCCAACCCTTTAGCAAGGACTTTTCCTCAATATTTCTCATATCTGCCTCTTCCTTCCACCCCCACGGCCACCACTTTAATTCAGAACTTGGATCACTGAGATGGCCCCTAATGGTTTCACTGCCTTCTTCTGCCCTTCCCTAGTCCATTGTCCATATGGCAACCCGGGGCAGGTGCAGTTTGGAAAGGAGGTGGCACTACCTGGTAATGCTGAAGCTGTGTATACTTCTAGCTCCTTCCCCTTTGCACCAGGGCACTTGCAGTAGGAAAGTCACAGCGACATTGTCTGCAAAGCAAGAAACTGGAAATGTCCAGGCACAGCAGCTCACGCCTATAATCGCAGCACTCTGGGAGGCCAAGGTGGGTGGATCACTTGAGCCCAGGAGTTTGAGACCAGCCTGGGCAACATAGTGAGACGCCCATCTCTATAAAAAAAGAAGAAAGTGGAAACAACTCAAATCTCCATCAACAACAGTGGATTCTTTTCCTGTTGCTGCTCTAACCAGTTACCCCAAACTCAGCGGCTGAAACACACACATTTATTATCTTACAGAGCTGGAGGTCAGGAGTCCAAAATGATTTTACTGAACTAAAATCAACAAGTCAGCAGGTATGCATTTCTTCTGCAGGCTCTAAGGGAGAATCTGGTTTTTGCCTTTTTTTCTGGCTTTCAGAAGCTGCCTGCTTTCCTGGGTTCATGGGTCCTTCCATCCTAACGTCAGCAGTAGTGGGCAGGCCTTTCTCAGGACACTGTCTCTGATTCTGACTCTTCTGCCTCCCTCTCTCCCATTTAAGGATCCTTGGCCGGGCACGGTGGCTCACGCCTGTAATCCCAGCAGTTTGGGAGGCTGAGGCAGGCAGATCACCTGAGGTCAGGAGTTCGAGACCAGCCTGACCAACATGGAGAAACCCCGTCTCTTCTAAAAATATAAAATTAGTCAGACGTGGTGGCGCATGCCTGTAATCCCAGCTACTCGGGAGGCTGAGGCAGGGGAATAGCTTGAACCCAGGAGATGGAGGTTGCAGTGAGCTGAAATTGTGCCATTGCACTCCAGCCTGGGCAACAAGAGCAAAACTCCGTCTCAAAAAAAAAAAAAAAATTCCTTGTGATTCCACTGGGCCCACCAGGATAATCCAGGATCATCTCCCATCTCCAGGCCGGGTGATTAGCAACCTTTGTTCTCCCTTGCCGTTAAAGGAACATTTTTGAAAGTTTCAGAGATTAGGATGTGGTCATATTTACAGGCCATTTTTCTGCCTCCCCACACAGTTACCCACACAGTTACCCATCGCATAATAGGGCTGGGGCTGGGGGATGTGAGCAGAATCCCTCCATACCCAACATATAACCACGCGAGGCCCCCAGCTGAGGGCCCGGTGTGTTGGGCAGAGAGCTGAAGGCAGGGGAACACTGTCCAGTCGCTGCACAGCAGTGTGAGGAAAGGAAGAGGAGTCGTCTGTAAAAACCCATTGACTGTGCTCATTTCACACTGCGTGCCTCTATCAAAACATCTCTAGCCAGGCGCGGTGGCTCATGCCTGTAATCCCAGCATTTTGCAAGGGTGAGGCAAGCAGACCACCTGAGGTCAGGAGTTCGAGACCAGTCTGGCCAACATGGCAAAACCCCGTCTCTACTAAAAATCCTAAAATTAGCCAGGGCCTGGTGGCGCGTGCCTGTAATCCCAGCTGCTCAGGAGGCTGAGGCAGGAGAATCGCTTGACCCGGGAGGCAGAGGTTGCAGTGAGCCGAGATCATGCCACTGCCCTCTAGCCTGGGCAACAGAGCAAGACTCCATCTCAAAAACAAAACAAAACAAAACAAAATCTCATGTATCCCATACATATATACATCTATTATATACCCACAAAAATTAAAATTAAAAAAAAGAAAAAAACAAAAAATCCCCATTGACTGTACTCTCTGTTATATTCCTGGGGCCCTCAAATGTTGATTACTTTTCAGTTTTGAGAATCTAAGTGACACCTAGCCTGGACAGGAGGAGGGGAGAGCCCCTGTTTCTGGCAGGTTTCTAAGAGGAATCACAGGACTGGGCTGAGAGGAGGGGACCCAGCACCCAGGCTAGAGCAGCCACCCCTCCATCCCTGAGTGAGGGGCCATCTGCTGCCCCCCGCCTCTCCCTCGCCCCCACCCCCGCCTCTATCTCAAGCCTTGCTCCTTTCCCCTCGGGTGCCTCCACCTGCCGTTTGCCCCGTCCTCACAGAGTGTGAATCTTGACTCAAAGTGTGGACGTCAAAGCCCCTTGGAAGTGGGAAAGGCCCAGGCGGGTGCAGATTGTTTATTTGCTTGCTGGGTGCTGGGTGTGAAAGGAACAGACACGTGCTTGCCTCGTGGGGCTCAGTCTCTAGTGGGGAAGATGGGCACTGCTGTCATTGTAAAGTGTGATTTTGTGAAAAGTGCTAAGAAGGAAAGGACAGGGGCTATGAGAGGGGGTTGTGGAGTCCTAATTAGGAAGGAGGAGTTGAACTGGTGAGATTGAGGGAAAGCAAAAAGCGAAAGCAGGTAAGCTCTAAGTGTGCCTTTCTTCATGCTCCAGAACACATGCCCTCCTGCACAAATAATTCACAATCTTCCTGCAACCAGCCATCACCAGACGCTCAGCTGACAGAAAATTGCAAATTAGCTCACTGCAACCTCGGCACTATCAGTACTGCGTAAAGCCCTCTCCAGCATACAGCACGAGCACCATCCTGTCCCGTCCCTAGCAAGCCTCTGTCTCCTTGCAGACAGCCCCTTCTCTGCTGTGCTGCCTGTTGCAAATTTGCAACGCATTTTCTTTTTCTTTTTTTCTTTCTTTTTTTGTTTTTTGAGACGGAGTCTCGCTCTGTCGCCCAGGCTGGAGTGCAGTGGCGCGATCTCGCCTCACTGCAAGCTCCGCCTCCCGGGTTCACGCCATTCTCTTGCCTCAGCCTCCCAAGTAGCTGGGACTACAGGTACGTGCCACCACTCCCGGCTAATTTTTTTGTATTTTTAATAGAGATGGGGTTTCACTGTGTTAGCCAGGATGGTCTTGATCTCCTGACCTCGTGATCCACCTGCCTCAGCCTCCCAAAGTGCTGGGATTACAGGCGTGAGCCACCGTACCCGGCCTTTTCTATTTTTTTTTTTTTTTTGAGACAAGTTTTCACCGTGTCACCCAGGCTGGAGTGCAATGGCGCAATCTTGACTCACTGCAATCTCTGCCTCCCAGACTCAAGGGATTCTCCTGCCTCAGCCTCCCAAGTAAATGGGACTACAAGCATGTGCCACCACGCCCGGCTAATTTCTGTATTTTTAGTAGAGATGGAGTTTGCCATGTTGGCCAGGCTGGTGTTGAACTCCTGACCTCAGGTGATCTGTACGCCTCAGCCTCCCAAAGTGCTGGGATTACAGGCGTGAGCCATCACTCCCGGCTGCAACATATTTTCATACCTTCTCTAATAAATGTGCCTTTCTTTACCTATAACTGTCTTGGTAAATTCTTCTTACTCCTGGGCTACTGGCCTCAGATAGTTGCCGCTCACCTGAGACAGGGGTGACAAGACGGCTTATTCATAGAAAGCATAATGACCAAATTAGAAGAACTGGGATATCCATCACCTTAAACATTTATCTTTTCTTTATGCTGGGAGCATGCAAATTATTCTCCTGTAGCTATTTTTGAAGTATACAGTGGGTTATGGTTAACTGCAGTCACCCTACTGATCTATGGAACACTATGTCTTATTTCTTCTAGCTAACTGTATATTGTACCCATTGATCAGCTTCTCTTCTTCCTCCCCTCCTTGCTATCCTTCCTGGCCTCTGGTAACCACCAATTTACTCTCCATCTTTGTGAGATCCACTTTTTTTTTTTTTTTTGAGTCGGGGTTTTTTAGTAGAGACGGGGTTTCACCATGTGAGCCAGGATGGTCTCCATCTCCTGACCGCGTGATCCGCCCATCTCGGCCTCCCAAAGTGTTGGGATTACAGGCGTAAGCCACCACGCCCAGCCTTTTTTTTTTTTTTTTTTTGAGACGGAATTTTACTCGTTACCCAGGCTGGAGTGCAATGGCACGATCTCAGCTCACCACAACCTCCGCCTCCCGGGTTCAAGCAATTCTCCTGCCTCAGCCTCCCAAGTAGCTGGGATTACAGGCATGCGCCACCACGCCCAGCTAATTTTGTATTTTTAGTAGAGACGGGGTTTCTCCATGTTGGTCAGACTGGTCTCGAACTCCCGACCTCAGGTGATCCTCCCGCCTCGGCCTCCCAAAGTGTTGGGATTAGAGGTGTGAGCCACTGCGCCAGGCCGAGATCCCCCTTTTTTTTTTTTTTTTTTTTGAGATGAAGTCTCGCTCTGTTGCCCAGGCTGGAGAGTGCAATGGCGCAATCTGGGCTCACCGCAACCTCCACCTCCTGGGTTCAAGTGATTCTTCTGCCTCAGCCTCCTGAGTAACTGGAATTACAGGCGCCTGGCACCACGCCCGGCTAATTTTTGTATTTTTAGGAGAGATGGGGTTTCACCACGGTGACCAGGCTGGCAAAGATCCACTTTTTTAGTGTTCATGTATGAGTGAAAACATGCAATATTTGTCTTTCTCTGCCTGGCTTATTTCAGTTAATATGATGACCTTCAGTTCCATCTGTGTTGTTGCAAATGACAGGATTTCCTTCTTATTGGTGGCTGAATAATATTCCCTTTGTTTATATACCACATTTTCTTCATCCATTCATCCATTGATGTGCGCTTGGGTTGACTCCATATT